>NC_000003.12:127341937-127493452 GCF_000001405.40 Homo sapiens
TGCTGAGGGCCCACTATCTGATTCTTAGGTGGTGCCTTCTTACCGTGTCCCTGCACCATGGGAAGGGGGAAACCGGATGTCTCTGGAGCCTCTTGTTTATGGGCACTAATCCAACCACGAGGGCTCCACCCTCACGACCTTGTCATCTCCCAAAGGCACCACCTCCTAACATTATCACATGGGGGATTCCATTTCAGCAGGTATTTTGAGGGGACACCAACATTCAGTCTATAGAAACTTATTATCAGGTATATTTAACTAAAATATAGCTAGCCCTAGCAATCTTTGATGTAGTGTTCCCATTTAAAATAAATGTGTTTAAATGCAACTGGATGCTCAATTGGGAATTTCAATGGAAATGTCCAAATCCAATAGATGCCACACCTCAAGGTGTTGAGAGGCCGGATGCAGAATTCACAAAGAAGATGGCTTGCAACAAGAGTAAGAGTCGAGTGGAGAGAGACCGTTTCTGAAGAAGGATGTTGAGCAGAGAGTGGCTTGTGTGCTGGGAGGGCTGAGGGGAGTGGATGAAGGGGAGTGTGCCCCTCACCTCTTACTCAGTGGGAGGGGCTCTGGGGAGGACCTTCAGCAGGATGTGGGGTGTACCTCTGAGTTTGGGGGACACAAGGGCTGGCAGGTGATACATAGCTGAGGACTAGGGCAGCAGGTGGTTGTGGCTCTTGAGCTTCAGGGCTGAGAGAAAAAAGACCCATATTGGGAGAAAGGGCGGATCCAGGTTCTGTGGAGCCTGCAGCGTACACAATCTGGGATCCCCTTGCTATGGACGTGAATATCAAATTACCATGGAAGCACCTGGTGGGGCCCTCAGGATCTGGGAAGGGGCCCGGGCAAGTCATAGCTCTGAAGCCGAAGCTGCACCGGCTGCATGGCACATGACCTCTGCGTGGACAGCAGCTACACCAGAAACCAGGACAATGTGAAGGGGGAAGAGTAGGTTGTGCGCTTGATGTGGCCACATGGGAGAGAGAAACAGCCAGGACTGTTCTTCATCCTGCCCAACGGGGGCGGTAGGACTCCAACAGAGAAGGTCCATGCTGAGAGAAGGGCAAACCAGAGGAACGGGGCTGCCAGGATCCCAGAAAAGCCTGCGCCAGAAGGAGCCCAGATAACTGGGAGATAGCCTCTGAGCAGAGCACTAGTCACAGGTGAACACTCCTGTTGCCTTAGGTCTCCTCTGCTCCAGAGTGGGGCAAGAAGAGAGAAATGTACCTAAAGAAGGACTATCTCACCTCCCGCCATAAACCACCAACCCTCGGTGGCACTCAGGAGGGGAGAGGACACATTTTTCAATGACTTGGACTTGGACACTCTCAATTACTGAAACGTGACTTAAAGTGACCACAGGACTCTTTTTAATCACCTAAGGCCAATCAGAGAAGGCTCAGCACAGGCCCTAGCTTTCACAATCACTCCCTTTGAATCATGTTTGCTCAATGTTCCAAAGAGTCAATTTTTTTATATACGGAGTTTTCCATTTTTAATATTTGGTTAAACAAAATAGATCATTTATAAACAAACAGCACAAGGTCACCAACAAAAAGGAATAAAAGCAAGAAAATCAAAAAGCCTAGGATTGCCTGTTATTGGGCATCAGGGTCAGGCCTGCTCATCTTCCTTAAAGGAAGTGAGGCTTTTTGCCCTTGGGCATCAGCATGGGTCCCTGTTTCTAAGCAGCAGAGTTGAATATGAACAGAGAAACCAGCCCTGAAATGGTTAAGCATCTTTCCATATCCCATTGGCTCATGGACTCCAAGTGCATGGGGACTCCCAAAGAGTCAGTTTTTAAAAATGTATTGTTTCACTTTGCTAGCACGGCCACAACAAAGCACCAAGACTGGGTGCCATAAACGACAGACACTCATTGTCTCAGCTCTGGAGGCTGAAAGTTTGAGATGAAGGTGTCAGAGCGGCTGCTTCCTTCTGAGGCTACTCTCCTTGGCTTGTGTGTGGCCACTTTCTCACTATTTTCTCATGTCCTTTCCTCTTGGTGGTCTGTGTGTCTGATATTCTTATATGGATACCAGTCACATAGAATTAAGACCCACCCTGACAGCCTCATTGTAACTCAATTACCTTTTTAAGACCCTATCTCCAAATATAACCACATTCTGAGGTACTAGGGGTTAAGATTTCAACATACGAATTGTGGGAATACACAAGCCAGCCCATAACATATATAAAATAAATAAAAGCTATTTAGACTCCAGGATAGGGAGCTAGACTAAAAACTTCAATACTGTAACCACACCCAAGGAATTTAACATTTAAACACTAACATTATCTACTATCTAGCACATAGTAAAATTGCCCAATTGCCCCCAAATTTCCTTCATATATTGTTTTATGACCCAAGATCTAATTAAGGATTTTGCACTGCATTAGACCGATTTTTTTAGTGTCCTTTAATCTAGAACACTTCTCCTGATTTTCTGTTGTCTTTCATGACATCAAGGTTTTGAAGAGTCCAGATTTTATGGACAGCACCTAGATTTGGCCAACTGTATGCTCATCATTACACCCAGGTTAGACACTTGGGCAGGAGATTTCCATAGGTGGCAGGGGTTCTTCCTACCGTCTTGCCTCAGGAGTTGCATGACATATGTCCGCCCCACTGCTGGGGATGCTAAGTGTTATCCCTTGGTGAAGGTGGTGTCCCTCGGATTCCATCATAAAAAGATGCCTTTTCCATGTTTTTAAATTAACAACTAGTTTTCAGGGTGATGCTTTAAGACCCTGTGACTCTCCAGTTCCCCAACAGACTTTGACCTGAAGGTTGTTGCATTCACGGATGACCTTCACCTGAGTCAGTTACTATAGGTGGGTGGTTGCAAAATGAACTATGTCATGTATACATAATCAATACTACAAAAGCATCCTTGGAAAGCGTTACTAAGTAAGATAAACAAATAAGGATGTGGAAGGGTGGAACCAAAGGCAAGGCCTATAACTAAAGATAATACAAGCAGGCGCAGTAACTCATGCCTGTAATCCCAGCACTCTGGAAGGCCAAAGCAGGAGGATCGCTTGAGACCAGGAGTTCAAGACCAGCCTGGGCAACATAACGAGACCCTGTCCCCAGACAATCTTGATATTACGATAGTCTCATATTAAACCTAATGTGGCTGGGCACGGAGGCTCATGCCTGTAACCCCAACACTTTGGGAGGCTGAGGTGGGCGGATCACCTGAGGTTAGGAGTTCGAGACCAGCCTGGCCAACATGGCAAAACCCCATAAATACAAAAATTAACCGGGCATGGTGGCAGGCGTGCACCTGTAATCCCAGCTACTCGGGAGGCTGAGGCAGGAGAATTGCTTGAACCCAGGAGGCAGTGAGTTGAGATCATGCCATTGCATTCCAGCCTGGACGACAGAGTGAGACTCTGTCAAAACAAAACAAAACAAAACAAAACAAACAAACAAAAAAACCTAATGTGTTTTTTGAAGTCAGTAACTGCTCCATGTTATGGCTGGTCTATCCCAGCAATGGACTTTTCATTCCTTTAATGACTCATTCTGTGAAGATAAGTGCAGAGAATCTATTAAGATGTTAAAACTGGCAGCCTGGGCAACATAGCAAGACCTCATCTCTACAAAAATTAGCCAGGTATGGTGGCTCATGCCTGTAGTCCCAGCTACTCAGGAGGCTTGAGCCCAGGAGTTCAAGACTGCAGTGAGCTGTGATGGTGCCACTGCACTCCAGCCTGGGCAATAGAGCAAGACCCTGTGTCTTAAAAAAAGTCTTTAAGATAATCTATAGATCTGCTACAGCAAATATTTAGGGCATAAATATGTCTTAAAACTTTCTAGAAGCTAATGTGAAAGAGAAATTTATCAGTTACACAATCCGGCTACTGGGACTGTGAGATTGGCTGCCAACAATGAATGTGAGGTGGGTGTCACTATGAAAGAATAGGCCTCCTCCTCTTACCCATGGGGGGACTCAGAACTCAATGCTGAGTTCTGCTTAAATGTAACTGACCAAAAATGGATATTAACCTCTGCTCCATCCTGACTTCCCACTAACACGGCAATAAGATGTTAAAAGGAGGGGGAATGCCTACACTTATAAGGACAAAGAGAACAGAAGAGGAGAAAATAGCAACAAATGTTAGAGTCAGGAAAGGAGATGGATGAGGGATAAATGAATTCGCTGATTTTAGAAAGCTGACTCCCGAGCCAGCTGTGGGAAGCCTAATAAACCGCAGCTCCAAAAGTCCTGAGAACGGAAGCACAAGGTGCCTCTGCAGCAGAGGTGAAGGCAGTAATAGAAACAGAGAGTGGACTGAAAGTATTTTCATAAGCAGGCAGATGCCCAGAGCCTCTCCATCAGACTGGACAACCTCATTCTGGCAGAATGCTAACTTCTAGAAACCAGAATAGGGGTCTCTGAATTGGGCACAGTTAAAGTCAGAAGAACCAGGGGAAATGAATGAACTTGACACACTCAGTGCTGAACACACCAGCCCTGTTCCCCACCAGCATCCAGAACACTGGTACCCAGGCTTCTCTTTCCAGGCCTCAGATACTCAGGGGAATTCAACCTGATCAGGAAGAAAGATCTGAGGAACTCCCAATGAAACAGCCCAAGCAGATCATCCTACAATGAAGTCCTACAATGACAAGCCACAATTTCCCATGACACACACACACACATATGCACACACATGCACATGCACACACATGCACATGCACAAAACTTTCCACCAGTGTTTTAGTGCCATGCTTTTAAATATGAGCAATCAAAAGGATTGTCAGACATCTGAGGAAGCCTCTGATATGAGAGACAGAGGTCAGAACAAACACAAATGGAAAACAAGAAAAGCAACTTAAAGGAAACAAAGGTTACTTGGGAGGAAGAAAACTTCAAAATCATTATCATTAATACAAGCAGAGCGCTAAGAAATGATATTCTGACCAGGAAATAAGAATAGAGTATTATTAAACAAAAGGAACATAGAAAGAGCTCTTGGAAACTTAAAATGTGATAGTAGAAATGGAAAATGTAAGAGAAGAGTTTGGATGATACAGTCGAGGAAAGCCGTAAGATGGAGCAGAGAGACAGGAAAAGGAGAACAAGGATCAGAAAGTTAGAAGGCCAGTTCAGGAAGCCCAACATTTGGGTAATAGGAGTTCCAAAAAAGAGAGAACAGAGAAAAAGTAGAAGAAATTACCAAGGGGAAAAAGTTCATGAAAGTGTCCCAGAACAGTTCTGGAGATTCTAGGTCAGAAGGGCCAGAAAAATGGAGAGGTGTGGACCTACATCAAGATACATGTATGAAACTTCAGGGCACTGAGGATAAACAGACAGCCCAAAAGACTTCCAGAGAGAGAGAATAAAATACAACAAAACAAATTTTACAACTGTGCAAAGTCAAAGATGGCACTGGCACTAGCTTTGCAATAGCAGCCTGGAAGCTGGAAGACAACAAAGCAACATCTTCAACGTTCCCAGGAAACTCATTTCTAACTAGAATTCTATATCTAGCCAAGTAAGAGTGAGAGGAGAATAAAAATACATTCAAATACTCAATGCCTCAAAAAATGAGGAATGACTAAGGAAGACAGAGATGTGGAACTCAGGAAATGGGTGCTTTAGCCTGAGAAATGGGAAGGGTGTTCAGGATGGGGTGAAGGAAGTGCTGTCCATGAGGAGCAAAGGGCAGGGTTCCCATAGACACTAGAAGGTTCTGGGAAAAGCCCCTTAGAAGAAAGCATAGGTAGGCCAGGCACAGTGGCTCACGCTTGTAATCCTAGTACTTTGGGAGGCCAAGGTGGGCAGACGACTTCAGGCCAGGAATTCGAGACCAGCCTGACCAACATGGCGAGACCCCGTATCTGAAAAAAAAAAAAAAAAAAAATTAGCCGGGCATGGTGGTATGCACCTGTAATCCTAGCTACTCAGGAGGCTGAGACATGAGAATCCCTTGAGCACAGCAGTAGGAGGTTGCAGTGAGCCAAGATCTCACCATTGCACTCCAGCCTGGGCAACAGAGGGAGACTTATCTCAAAAAAAAAAAAAAAAAAAGAGGAAGAAGAAGAAGAAGGAGGAGGAGAAGGAGAAGGAGAAGAAGGAGGAGGAGGAGGAGGCATAAGTAGAGTCACTGATGCTTTGAAGATACTAGAGCAGACTGGTTCAATTAGAGGCTGTTTGAACATGAATTCATAACAAAAGAATAGAAAATTAATAGAACAGATTATTAACAGGGTAAGTTATAGAAAATTAAGCAAACAGTAACTCCAGGAAATATATAAGTTGTCCAATAAAGGAAAATAACTGTAGACTGCTGTATGGTTTTGCACCAAAAAACTGTATAAACTCTAAATATGGATCTAAACCAAATTGCAAATTTACCATACCACAAGAACTGTGATAGGATGCACGTCTACATCACGGGGGGAGGGGACAAGTTTTGCAAGAGCGCTAAACCCTCATTTCCTGAGTAAGAAGTCAACACACATTGCTTGAAATGAAATATAAAATCAACAAATAACAATATAAGCTTGTTCTGTAGAGGTGAGGAGATAAATCCAAAAGGGATCTGCTAAAAAAATTGAAAGCGGTTTCCTTCAGGACCTGGGAAATGAGGAAAGATGAAAGGAAGAATACTATTTTTCATGGCAAGCCTTGCCAAAATCATCTGTGACTCTTTATGTACACTTATAACTTTGATTTACACAATTAGATGTAAATTTTAAAAAATTAGTCAATGTCCGCCCAAATTGTTGTTCGTGTGTGAGACCAACAGAAAGATCATCTCAGATATCCATGAGTTCATACATTACAACCTTCTGGAAAAATCGGTAGAAAAAATATTCCACCTAATTAAGATTCAGGAATGGGAAAGTTAAGTTAGAAAAGAAAGAGATTCTCAGTACTGACAATTATTTTCTGAACTAGAAGATGCATAATAATAAAATTAATGAACAAATTAAAAATGAAAATTGCATCTAAAATCCTAGCTATTACCTAGAAAACGCAGTGGAGAGGGGGAGATGGTTTTTACAGAGAGAGAAATCAATAGTTATCACTTTATTTTTGATATTCATTTTTACGACATAGGTCCACTTAAAAATAAAATAAAGGTAAACAAGCAAAATTAAATATAAGTCTACTTCCCAGTCACTAGTGGGAAAATCAAAGACAGTGAAATTAAAAGAGCAAAAAGATAGCAAGGAAATGAAGTGAGAAAGCAGAAAAGAACACCAGAAATGAGACCAAATAGTTATGGCATTTAAGTAAATAGGCTAAACTTTCTTGTTAAAAAACATAGGAGTTTTTTAAAAAATCCGAAACCACTGCTATTTTTAAGCAAAAACTCCTAAAACAAAATGACAAGTAACATTTCAGAATGAATGGATGATAGTGCAGTTTAGTTAGACCAAAGAGACATCATGGAATAAAAAATAAAAGTCAAGTCGTCAAGGAGAGAGTGGATGAAATGTCAGCGCAGGAGCGAAGCCTGCTCTGAGCAGGGAGCAGGAGCCAAGAGCCTTGAGCTCCTGTTATATTTTTTGCTGGTGAGGGACGAAACTATCTGTGAGGCGGGGACCATCACTGTGCCCAGTTTAGAGATGAAGAAATAGAGGCACAGAGACATGCTAAGTCTGGCACCAGGCAGTGGCAGGACTGGAAAAGGAGACTGGGTCTGGCCAACCCCGAAGCTGTGCTTCTTCCCGTCCTGCCAGGAGTGTGGTGCTCATTGTAGAGGAAGTTCCTAATAAAAGCAGCCTCATTTGTCAGGGGTCAAGGGTTCCCTGCTTGGCCCTCTCGCAAATGGCATCCCTCTGGAGAAGTGGGTAACCCTAGACATCAGGGTTCCCCTGCGGGCCATGTGTGCAGAGTCCAAGTGTGTCCTAGCCACCCCTCGGCACAGGTCTTGGCAGCGGCCTCCCTCCTGGACACAGGGCTCCCCTCCCCCGACAGCGGGTGTCCTCTCTCCTGGCCCACACCTCTGGGCCCCGCTCAGCCTCCTCACGCCCTGGCCAGGGTTGTCAGCCTTTCTACAGGTGCAGCCCCCGCATCCCCCGAGGCTGCTGCGCAGGCGGGGGCAGGTCCCCTGGAAGGTGGCCTCAGACGCCCTACAGGTCAGGAGGATGTCCTCTGCTCCTATTGCCTGCCCCGCCCAGGCGGAGAGGTGCTGGGGCCTCCCACCTCTGAGCCGCAGAAAGACCCACAGGGGAGCCCCCAGGGAAGGCTGTGGAGAAGCCCAGCCACCTCGCCTGTTCCTTTGGAGAAAGCAGGGGGCTCTAAGGAGAGGCAGCGCCAGGCCTGGGTGCAGGGTGAGGAGTCCTGACCCTTGCTCTCTGTCTCTCCCCGGGGCTTTCCTGTCCAATACCAGGGGCTTGTGCTGGCCGCGCATCTGTGCAGATGTGTACGTGCGGGGCTGCAGTGGCTCGGTGCCCTCGCTGAGCCCTGGTCGTCTTGTCCCTGGAAGTACCTCCTGTTAGGATTCCCACGACAATGCCCACGTGGCACTTTTTCCGCCTGGGTTTTCGGCACAAAAGAGAAGGAGTTCACAGGGTCCTGCAGGCCCCAGCCTCTGCGGGCTCATCTGCCCGGGGCGTGATCAACGGTGAGCTCCCCATAGGGAAGCTCTGCAAACCCACACTCCCAGAGCTCCTCCAGCAAACACTGGATGCCTGCTCAGAAGAGCAGGGAACACAGGGGCCACCAGATCAGAACCCCATTCCCCTTCTGGCTGCTGCTCCCCTCTATGAAAGCCCAGTCTGGTCCCCCTCACCCCTCTGGCCTCACCACCTAGGTCTCACCTTGCTGTTTCCTGAAGGAGCCGGGAATGCCCTGCCTCCACACCTACTGTTCCCATCTCAAATGGGTGTTGTCACCCAAACACCCACAGCCCCCCACGCCAACCTCCTTTGCATCAGCCACTGCTGCCTTCCCGGTAAGGTCGCCCTGACCACCTTATTTAAAGTTGCACTCCCACTTCCTATGTGCTGTTTCCCATGTGCGGATGGCTGGATGGATGTGTTGTCCCCGTGAGGCTGAGTGGCCGGCTCCGTGCCCCCTGAGGCCTTTACCCACTCCCTCCCCAGCACACACGTGATCTCCACCCGGTCTACTCCCAATCTCAGCTTCTCTGTGGTTTCCTGGACTTTTCCTCCTCACCGCCACCCCCATCACGGCCAGAGTACCAGTCAGGGGGCTCTGCCACTCAGCACAGTGCTGAGTGGCAGAAAGAGAGGGCCTCACCCAGGAAGCCAGCTGCCTCCTCTCCACCCTCCCTGGAGAGCCCCCAGGGGTGGCTAAGTCGGAGAGACTGAGACGCAAACTCTGAAGGAAGCTGCAGAGAAGGAGTATTAGCCCCAACAAAACTTAGAGTCTTGGCAGCTAAATTCAAATCAAATGTGATTTTGATACCAATTCAAACAGCCTAGGCAGAAGAGCTAAGGGATTTTCTACTTGAAAGCATAAAAGGAACGGAGAAGACGTCTGAATTCTAACAGCTGAGAATTACTGAGATGAGGAGAGATTTGGGGAATCAGAAAAAGTCTACTTGGAGCAGCTTCCCTTCCCGGATGGAAAAGGGAGTGCCAATCACGGCTGCCATGGCAACAGGTAGGCGCCAAATGCCAGCACAGAGAGAAGCCGAGCGCGCCTTCCCACAAAAACGCCACAGTTATTGTTCTAACAGGAGCAGGATGGAAGTCATGTCCATGCATCACCCCACATCCCCAGCATCACTCCACATCCCCAGCGCCAACCTACAATGCCTGAAAGTTCTCTCCATGGCCAGAAAGATTGGAAGGAACTGACACACAGCTCCACCAACACACACACACACACACACACACACACCCCACACACACACACACACTCATTTCCCTTCTGCTCCAATTCCTAAAATTTAGTAGCTTAAAACAACAACAAAAAATCAATTTATTATCCTCATTCTTTTGTGGGTCAGGAATGCAGAAAGGGCTTGGCTAGGTTGTTGGGCGTGGGGCCTCTGCTGCTGTTGTGGCTGGTGGCTGGAGCGGCGGTGGCTGCCGGGCATCTCTCTTCACACAAGCTCAGGGCCTGCTGAGGTGTGTGCTGACACAGACACATGTGCCTGCCTGAGGCAGAAGCTGCACGCGGCCTCTTCACACCTGGTCCCGCACCATGTAGCATCACTCTGCCACCTGCTACAGGTTACTTGTGGGAGTGGCAAGAGGAGGGAAATTAGACCCCGCACTTGACCTTGCAGTGGCAAAGTTCTGAAGGGACAGTGAAACAGGAGACGCTATGTGGCCACCCTGCCCTCATCCTCAGAGAGGAGCGTGGAACTGGGAAGGCGGTAAGGGAACACAGTGCCGGAAGGGAAAGCAACCTGTCAGCACTTCCTGGTTTGACAGAGAGGGTGAGGGCATTCTGGAGGGAAACAACAAGAAGAGCCACATAGAATGGAGTTTTAAGAGCTCTAAGAATTCTCCCCACAACCTAGAAAACGAATCTGGAAAGCCTAGAGGCGGTATGAGTGCTCACCAGCTGTGTGGGGGGTGGAGATGCCTGACTACAGCAGCACTACCCAGGAGAAGATTCTGCCGTAACAGAAATGTCCCATGTCTGCCTTGTCAGGTACAGGAGCCACAAGCCACATGTGGCTCTGAGCCCTTGAAATGTGACTAATGAAACTGAGACACTGAATTTTAACTTTTATTTCATTGTAATTAACTTAAATTTAAACTTAGAAAGCCATGTTTGGCTAATAGCTATCATATCAAACAGTGTGGGTCTGGAATTAAGTATCTCAGCCAACAAATCAAACCGTGTCTTAAAGGAGAGAAGAGAAAAGTGCAGAGATCGGCCCACCTGACGCCTGCCTCTCACTGCCAAGACAGCTCTCGGGTTTGCCTCTCCACCCACCTCTCAGGAGAAAGAAGAGAAAAGTTCAACACTAAGGGCTGATTCAAGGTAACAGTCTCATAGGGCAAACAATAACTTATTACAACATTCTCCTGGAAGAGTTAGTCAATGCAATTAAATACATGGCCAGGCTCAGTGGCTCCCACCTGTAATCCCAGCACTTTGAGAAGCCCAGGAAGGAGTATTACTTGAGCCCAGGTGTTTAAGACCAATTTAGGCAACAAATTGAGATCCTATGTCTACAAAAGATGTTTTAAGATCATCTCAGCATGGTGGTGCACGCCTGTGGTCCCAGCAACTCAGGAGGTTGAGGTGGGAGGATTGCTTGAACTTAGTAGTTCAAGGCTTCAATGAGCCATGATCACACCACTGCACTCCAGCCTGGGCAACAGAGCAAGACCCTGTCTTTAAAAAAAAATGAATAAATAAATAAGATGCATACAAATTGGAAAGAGGAGACAAATTTATCATTGAAAATAATAGTATGGTATCACTGGGTAAAGATTTTTAAAATATTGGAAACAACAAGCCAATTTATTAATGTAGTCAGTTATAAAATTAGCATATCAAAATCAATAACTTTCTTTTATATAAAACATAAGCAGCTAAAAATATAATGAAGGAAAAGAGCTCATTCTCAATAGCAACTGAAAGTATAAAATGCCTAAGAAAAAAAATTTAAGAAATGTGAAGGCCTTACATGAAAAAAACTATAAAGCTCAACTAAGACATAAAATAAGATAGAATAATTGGAGAGTCATATCTTCTTATTGAAGAGAAAAACTTAAAGTTGTAAAGATGTCAATCCTCTGTAAATCAAAATTCTAATTGAATTTTTTGACAAAAAAACTCAATTGAACTTGACAAAGTATTCAAAATATGAACAGATACATCAATGGGGGAGAATAGAGCATCCAGAAATAAGCCCATGAATTATGTGAGGGTTTAAATGCTGATAAAAATGGCATGAAAATTGAAGAAATGATGGAATGTTTAATAAATGGTATTGGGATAAATGTGTAAGCACTTGGAAAACAATAAAGCTGAATCTCTACTTTCTTAGACTAAAAAGAAAAAAATCCAAAAGTATCAAAATTCAAATGTCAAAAATGAATCTAAAAATGTAATAGAAGAAAACGTGGGTGAATTTTTTATCCTGGTGTGAGAAAAAGTCTTTCTAAGCATGACAAAAAAGCCCAGAAGCCAGAATGGAAAAGGCGGACTGATTTGACTATGTAAAAGTGGAAGACTTCACTTCAGCAAAATACCCATTTAAAAACATAATAGACACACTGGGAAAAATTAGCTGCCATCCAGAAGCTAGACAAAGGTCAAATTTCCCTAAATTACAAATTACTCTCACAAGTCGTGAGGGAAAATTACAATACAATGGAAAAGTGGGCAAAGTAAATGGGCAGGCAATTTTCAAACGCTCCCCTCCAAAAACAGACACATGAAAAGAAGCCCAGTTTCACTGCTAGTAAGAGAAACACAAATTAAATTAGAATATATTATATTCATCACCTCTATTGGAAACAACAAAAAAGACTACATACCCATTGCTGTTAAGGAGCTCAGGAAAGGTGGTGTATAAACAAAGACAGCTTTTCCAGAGGACCGTTGGTGATAACAAATATAATTGTAATTTCAAAAACTTTTTACCTGGTGATTCATATTCTAGGAACTTAACATCCATACTTACTCAAAGATACATGGGCAAGACTGCACCTTTGCTTGTTATCGTAGAATTTGCAAAACAAAATGAAACAAAAAACAAACATCAAATGTCTAGAGGGAATTGGATTCTCCACTACAGTAAACCCATCCCTGGTATGAAACAACATGTGGCCAATATGCACTGGCTTGGGGAAATGCACAACACACTGATAAGAGAGAAAAGGTTGGAAGCAACGTGGCCCCAGTGTTGGAGTTGTCCAGTCCAGCACCTTGCTGCCCACAGGGATCACTCCAGCCTCCCCTTGCTCTGCTCTTTTCCTTTCTCTATTTTGTGCAGGTCCAATTACCTCCTGACGACCTTTAGAGCATCCGGCTCTGAGCACCTCAGGGGGCCAGCTGCCCTGCCTGTGTGTGGCCTGCTCTGCCTCTGGCCCTGCACGTGGCCAACTTTTCTTTAGTAGCACCTCCTCCAGGCTACCTTCCCTGACCACAGCTCCTCACCCATCCCTCCCTCTCTCCCCCTACACCCTGAATATTTTGATAGCATTGGTACAAGGCAAGCAAGGCCCAAAATTGGGGCTTAGTTGGGGAGGGTTCTTGGCTTCACCCAGGAAAGAATTCAAGGGCAAGCCAGTGATGTTAGACAGCAACTTTTATTGAAGCAGCAGTGCATAGTGGCAGCAGAGGTACTGCTTCTTGTGGAGCAGGGCAGAGCCACCCCATAAGCAGTGTGCCCAGAGCAGCAGCTCAGAGGCAGCCCTGAAGTCATATTTATACCCACTTTTAATTACATGCAAATTAAGGGGTGGACTATGCAGAAATTTCTAGAAAAAGGGTAGTAACTTCTAGGTTACTGGTAGCTGCTGTGGAAAGGGGCAGTAACTTCCAGATGTTGCCATGGAAACAGTAAACTGACATGGCACACTGGTGGGCATGACTTATGGATGGCTGTTTCCACCCTGTCCCTGTTTCAGTTAGTCCTCAATTTGTCCCAGCACCTGGGTCCCACATCCAGAGTCGAGTCCCACCTCCTACCTTAGCATATGTCACTATTCAAACTTTTGTTTATTTACCTGTTTGGTTGTGCACAGTCACTTTCTCCCTAATGCAGTCTCCATGAGGGCTAGAACCATACCTGGCTCATCACTTCCAAAGATCACCCTTGTGCTTAGAATTAGAAGAACAGCCCAAGCCCCTGGGGCTGGCTCCCTGTCTTCCCTCACCCCCCACACACATACACCACCCTCCCCATCCCTGGCTTTGCTCCAACCATGCTGGCTGTATTACTCTGTTCTCATGCTGCTATGAAGAAACACCTGAGACTGGGTAATTTATGAAGAAAAGAGGTTTAATTGACTCACAGTTCCAAGGCCTCAGGAAACTTACAATCATGGTGGAAGGCACCTCTTCTCAGGGTGGCAGGAGAGAGAATTCGAGCTGAGCAAAGGAGGAAACCCCTTATAAAACCAGCAGATCTCATGAGAACTTACTATCATGAGACCAGCATGGGGGAAACCACTCCCATAATTCAATTATCTCCACCTGATCCCGCCCTTGACAAGTGGGGATTATTACAATTCAAGGTGAGATTTGGGTGGGACACAGAGCCAAACCATGTCATTCTGCCCCTGGCCCCTCCCAAATCTTATGTCCTCACATTTCAAAACACAACCATGGCCTTCCAACAGTCCCCCAAAGTCTTAACTCATTCCAGCATTAACTCAGAAGTCTAAGTCCAAAGTCTTACCTGAGACAAGGCAAGTCCATTCCTCCTATGAGCCTGTAAAATGAAAAGCAAGCTAGTTACTTCCTATGTACAATGGTGGTAGAGGCATTGGGTAAATACACCCATTCCAAATGGGAGACATTGGCCAGAACAATGGGGCTACAGATCCCATGCAAGTGTGAAATCCAATAGGGCAGTCACTAAACCTTAAAGTTCCAAAATGATCTTCTTTGACTCCTTGTCTCACATCTAGGTCACACTGATGCAAGAGGTGGGCTTCCATCGCCTGAGGCAGCTCTGCCCCTGTGGCTTTGCAGTTTACAGCCCCAGCCTGGCTGCTTTCACAAGCAGGTGTTGAATGTCCGTGGCTTTTCCAAGTTCATGGTGCAAGCTGTTGGTGGATCTACCATTCTGGGGGCTGGAAGACAGTGGCCCTCTTCTCACAGCTCCACTAGGCAATGCTCCAGTGGGGACTCTGTGTTGGGGCTCCAACCCCATATTTCCCTTCTGCACTGACCTAGCAGAGGTTTTTCATGAGGGCTACATCCCTGCAGCAAACTTCTGCCCGGACATCCAGGCATTTCCATACATCCTTTGAAATCTAGAGGGAAGTTCCCCAACCTCAATTCTTGACTTTTGTGCACCTGAAGGCCCAACATCATGTGTAAGCTGCCAAGGCTTGGGGCTTACACCCTCTGAACAATGGCCCAAGCTGTATCTTAGCCCCTTTTAGCCACAGCTGGAGCTGAAGCAGCTGGGACACAGGGCACCCATCATGCCCCAAGGCTGCATAGAGCAGGGTGTCCCTGTGCTCAGTCAATGAAACCATTTTTCCTTCCTAGGCCTCCAGGCCTGTCATGGCAGGGGCTGCTGTGAAGCTTTCTGACATGCCCTGGAAACATTTTCCCCATTGTCTTGGTGATTAACATTTGGCTCCTCATTACTTATGCAAATTTCTGCAGCCAGCTTGAACTTCTGCCCAGAAAATTGGTTTTTCTTTTCTATGGCATCATCAGGCTGCAAATTTTCCTAACTTTTATGCTGTGCTTCCTCTTGAATCTTTGCTGCTTAGAAATTTCTTCCACCAGATACCCTAAATCATTTCTCTCAAGTTCACTGTTCCACAAATCTCTAGGACAGGGGCAAAATGTCACCAGTCTCTTTGCTTAAGCAAAGCAACAAGTCACCTTTATTCCAGTTCCCAGCAAATTCCTCATCTCCGTCTGAGACCACCTCAGCCTGGACTTCATCATCCATATCACTATCAGCATTTTGGTCAAAGCCATTCAACAAGTCTCTAGGAAGTTCCAAACTTTCCCACATCTTCCAGTCTTCTGAGCCCTCCAATCTCAAGGAAGTTCCAAACTTCCCCACATTTTCCTGTCTACTTCTTAGCCCTCCAAACTGTTCCAAACCCTGCCTGTTACCCAGTTCCAAAGTCACTTCCCTGTTTTGGGGTATCCTAATAGCAGCACCCTACTCTTTGTGGTACCACCTTACTGTATTAGTCTGTTCTCATGCTGCTATGAAGAACTGCCTGAGACTGGGTAATGTATAAAGATAAGAACTTTAATTAACTCACAGTTCCACATGGCTGAGGAGGCCTTAGGAAACTTAGAATCATGGTGGAAGTCAGCTTTTCTCTGGGTGGCAGGAGAGAGAATGAGAGCCAAGCCAAGGGGGAAACCCCTTATAACACCATCAGATCTCGTGAGAACTCATGAGAACAGCATGGGGGAAACAGCCCCCATGATCTGATTACCTCCACCTGGTCCTGCCCTTGACATGCAGTAATTATTCAAGGTGAGATTTGGGTGGAGACAAAGAGCCAAACGATATCACTGGTCTTCTTTTTCCTCAAGCACACAGAGACCCTTTTTCTGTTCCATCCACCTGGGCACCAGCCCCCTCCTGAAAACATTTACATGCCTCATTCCTCACTCTGCCTGAGGCATATCTAAAATAGCAGCTGTTGCCTCCAGGCCCTGGTTTGCCTGTCTCCCCACACTCCCCTTGCCTCCTCTTTCCCCTGTAGGTTTGACCTCTGTTCCTCTGCTGGCACTGAGCACTGTGAGGGGAGACTTTGTTCTGTCACTCTTATGTCCCCTGCCTTGAACAGTGCTAGGCACAAACCCACTCATTTAGGGCTCACAATAGGTCTAAATTCAGCTTCATTTTCTTTCCCAAACAATGACCTAATTGTCCTGATAACTTTTTAAAAAATCCATCTTTCCCCTTTGGTTTGAAATGCCACTTCCATCCATATTGAATCCGTATGGACCTGGGCCTATGTGTAGCTTTCTGTTCTGTCCCACCAACATGCCTTTCTCTGCTGAGCTGTCTCCATTCTACCTCTCTACTGTCCCTATTGACAACTAGTACTCACTGAGCCCTACCCCATGCCAGGCACTTGCTTAGATGACAGAGCAAAGAATGAAACAGATGTGTGCCAGCCCTCCAGGAACTTGCATGGGTCCCTAAAATACAGTGGGTACCCTGGACACCCTGGGACGAGGGTGGAGGTGATGGATAAAGACAGAGACGCACATGGAGAACAACATGGAGTCAGGCAGCCTCTGAGAGGGAAGTGGTTACTTCGCGTTGTCAAAGTCCTCCCAGCAAGAGTGTGGAGCACAGCTGGGAGTAGAAGCACTGCAGGCAGATACGGTGAGTGGGTGCAGGGGGAAAGGGCCTCAGTGAGAACTGGGTGGTGACACTGGCTAGAAGGCAGGGGTGGGAGGATTGAGAGACATCTGGAAGTGGAATTGCTGAGACCTCGTGATTATGTCTGATAAAGAAGTAAGCTAGGCAGTGATTCACTCCTGTAATCCCAACACTTTGGGAGGCCAAGAAGGGCAGATCACCTGAGGTCAGGAGTTTGAGACCAGCCTGGCCCACATGGTGAAACCCTGTCTCTACTAAAAATACAAAATTAGTGGGGTGTGGTCATGCGTGCCTGCAGTCCTAGCTACTTGGGAGACTGAGACGGAAGAATCACTTGAACCCAGTAGCAGAGGATACGGTGAGCTGAGATCGCCCCACTGCACTCCAGCCTGAGCAACAGAGACTCTGTCTAAAAAAAAAAAAAAGTCGGGGAGCAGGGGAGGATGGAATTCACACCCTGAGGCCCAGGACCCTGCCTGAGGAACTGGATGGGCAGAAGCTGTTCCCTGGGATGGCCAGAGGGACACATGCGTGGCAAGGCTGCAAAGCCTGTACGATGTTAGGCAGGGCTGTCCAGCAGGCACTTAGAAAGGGTGTCTGGTGCTCAGGGGTGAAAGCCTGGCTTGAGTTGGGAGCTTGGGAGCTCGTGGTCCCTGCATGGATGGGAAGCAACCAGCTAAGGGCTGGTGTGCAGAATGAGAAGAGAACAATAGGGCGATCTGAGGCAGAGCCCTGCGGACACCCCAGCAAGCCAGGGGCTGGCAGAAGTGTCACCCCATCAAAGGGGTAAATGAGGACCAGGTGGGCTGATGTCATCGAAGCCAAAAGTACAGGAGTGGCCAGCTATCACCTGGTAACCATCCCCTGTCCTTAGCAGGGGACATAGGTGCTGAGCACAAAGACATTTCCCAGACTTCCTTGCAGCTGGGTGAGGCCATGTGACAAAGTTCTGACCAGTGGATATAAGCAGAAGTGGAGCGTGCAGCTTGCTGGAAGGGCCCCCACAGGCAGGGGCAAAACTCTTTCCTCATTCTCCCTCCCACTGACTGGAATGTAGGCATGATGGCTGGAGCTGCAGCAGTCTTTTAGACCATAAGGGAAAAAGCTGCATGTCTGAGATGCAGGAGCAGCACTGTGGAAGGAGTCTGAGTTTGTGCAGACATTGGAGCTGCTGCGTCAGGCCTGGACTGTGTGCATATGCAGTAGAGAGAACTCAACTGTCATGTCAGCCCCATATTATTTTGGATTTCACTGAAGCTTCTGAGAGGTCAGCTAACACAAGAACTTAACAGCTACTCATGTTAGCAGCATACAGGTTGCTGGTGGCCCTAAGATGGGACAATTTTAGGGAGTGAGGTGAGACAGCCCCCAATGCAGGTGGAAATGGGTTGAAGAATGAGAAGTGGAGACAGTGAGTGTAGAAGCTCTTTCTAGAAGTTTGTCATGGTGGCACCAAGGTCTGAGAGTGCTTTAGCTCCCTCTCCCATAGTCCCCAACATCCCCACAACAGTCTCCCCAAGTAAACATGCAAGCTGAATAAAGCAAGTCTCATATGTCCCCACCGCCTCCTGCCACCCCTAAGCTCCTCCAAGGAGATTTTTCAGACATACCACAGCTGTGAAGGGCACAGAGGAGGAAACACAACGTGGTGGGAGACAGAGGGCAAGTGTTCAGTGTGGGAGTGGCCGTTCCAGAGCCCCATCTGGGCTTGGGCTGGGGCAACAGGGTGCAGAGTTGAGGTGGCTGAACCCCAGAGCCATCTGTGGCACTCTAGGGGGTGTCCCCTACCTTTTACCCCACTGCTGCATTCAGTGCATGGGGTCACAGCTATGTGGCAGTCCCCAGTGACACTGCTGAGGCTGTGCTAGGCCTGGCCTGTTCCCAATCCTGGGATTCTCCCCATGAACCCAAGCTCCACGCCTGCTCCATGGTCCCCACCTCATCAGCCTGACAAGCCAGTTCATGTAGCGAGAAGACACCCGTCAGCTCTTTCTCTAGGCCAGGTCGTGCTTCAGACTGGAGAACAAGAGAGCAGCCAGGCACCATGAGGGCCCTCAGGGCTATGGTCTCGACCACCATCGTCACAGCACAGCAGACAGGCCGGCAAGGAGTCCTGCCAGCATGGAATGGCCTGGAGCTTTAACCTGTGGCTGGAGGGCTTCCGGGATGTGGTGGCCTTCAGGTTGTCCCTTGGCTAACAGGAGTTCAACAAATTCAGATGTGGGTGTGGCAACATCTGTTTCTGAGAGGACTTGAGGGTCTTCTGCCAAGTCCATTCATCCTTCCCCTGGTTAGGAAAACAACAAACTTGATTTTCTTCTGGGGCCCACCCTGATCATCCACTCTCAGGCTACATGGCCCCATGAGAGCCAGGGCCATCTGGACTTCTGGGAAGGATGCAGGGGTATGAGGGTGTGGGCACCAGAGCTGCGGGGGAGCAGGGGAGCCAAGGAGGTCCCGGGCTCTTGGGATTGTTGCTTGACGGGCAGATCCAGTCTCAGTGGAGGCGGCCCACTAGACTCCTGAGTGCCTGGGCCACCCTTCCTCTGCCACTGATGGTGGTTTGCATGGAGTTGTCTGTCATTTGTGTTATAAAGAGGCCTGGCAGTACGAGCCACTCGAGATGGTGGTGTGTGCTGGCTGCGCACAGTGCCCGGACCACAGGGACATTTGGGGCTGCTTTGTGGAGGGGGAGACATTTGAGTCAAGGCTCGAAGCTGGTTCAAACACAGGAAAGAGCCTTATAGAGTTTCTGCGAATATCTTTTCAACTCTCAGTTTCTACTATGACAAAAATCATTTCATTCATTGACTTTATTAAGAAAAGTTCATGTATTTAAAAAAAAGGACACTTGGGGTGCAGTGGCTCATGCCTGTAATCCCAGCACTTTGGGAGGCCGAGGCTAGCACATTACTTGGGCTCAGGAGTTTGAGACCAGCCTGTGAAACACGGTGAAACCCCATCTCTTTCAAAAATAAAAAATTCGCTGGGCATGGTGGTGCCTGCTTGCGATCCAGCTACTCCAGAGGCTGAGGTGGGAGGATCACTGAGCCTAGGAGTCTGAGGTTGCAGTGAACCATGTCTGTGCCATCACACTCCAACCTGGGCAATAGAGTGAGACCCTGTCTCTAAAAATAAAAAAAAATTTAAGAAGGACAATAAAAGACCTAAATGTTGGATCTGGCACATCCTATTGTCATAGGGCATCTGGTAAAAGGGGAATTAATGCTAAGAAAATGATAGGACAATGGTGGAAGCCACAGTTGAACTGAGAAGTGAAGGCACTAACAGATTACCAGTGCCCGCTCCACACCAGGAAAGCCTGGCCCTGGGGACCCAAGACAGGGACAAATCAGACCTGGGATCTTTTTCTGATTGGTAAAATATCTCAGAGGCAGCCCGCCAAGATCACACCATCCTTGTAAGGACTGATAATGTGGCCGAAAGCCCTGGACAGGGTGAGCTCCCTGCTGCCTCTCTGTCCTCATCACTGTATCTCACCCAGAGCAAGAGGCTTCCGAGTTCCACACCTTAGAGACTGGTGTGCTGGAGGCCACATCACACCACCCAGGTCCCTCTAGGGCTTATTCCCCAGCTCCCAGCAGTGCTGGGGGCAGAAAGGCCTTGGCAGAGGTCGCCCCAGAGGCATACGTCATTGCCCCAGGGAGAGCCCATGTCCCATGACTGCCCCACGTAAGCAATGCCCAGCCACATCCCAGACTCAGAACAGCTCTAGGATTCCTACAAGGGTAATGGAGGCTGTCACTGCACCTGCACTGCAGCTCAGTGTGCCCCTCTGCCCCTTCCTGCTTCCTCCCTCCCTGCCACAGGACTGGCCCCCAAACACCCTGCCTACTGAGCTTTGTCTCAAGATCCCCTTCCTGGAGACTCAGGTGGGCAAGTGCCCTGCCCAAGTCACTCTTGAGCGTGTGGGAAATGCAGGGCTCCCCAACTCTGAGCTGGTGGAGGAGTCGTAGGAAGAACTCCTGCCAGTCTGCCTGCCTTATACCCCCACAACTGATGGACCAGCATCATCCTTCTTATAGCTCTAGCCAGTCATGTCCCAGGCCGGGACATGAGGAAACCCTGGGCCACAGTAGGCAGTGCCTGCCAGGCTGGCAGGTATGTCAGGGTGGCTCCCCCACCCAGCCCCGGAAGGTGCAAGCAGATTTCTCACCATCTGCCACTGCTCGTTGTTGAAGGAAAATTCTACATCCCAAACACTTGTTTGGAGGAAATTAGATCATCACCTCCCCACTAATGAAGCCAGGCTGTGCACACAGAGGGAAGGGAGACGGCAAGTTGTTTGTCTCTTGGGGCTGCAGCCCAGAAGCTGGCACCCCAGGTGTCTCCAAGGCTCCACGCACGTGTGGCGAGAGCAGCCTACGCCAGGCTGGCTTGAAACCTGCAGGTGACGTTTGCCTGGGTATACGAGGATCCGGGCCCTCAGCCGAGACTGCCACTGCGTTCCAGGACCACAGACGGCCCCTGCTGCCTTCAGAAGGCAGCACGCACCTGTCCTACCCAGGTTGAGGAGCAGCCCCTGCCTCTCCTCACGTGGGTCCCCCTCCACCATGGGTGCCTCTGATGGGGAAGAAGGCACATGTTCTCAGGTGGAACAGCCTCCCTCCTCAGCTTTCAGCCTGGAGCCTCTCCAGGCACAAGGTCCTTTTAACAATTTTTTAATTGAGATATAAGTCACATAACATAAACTACATAAACTTCACCATTTAAAAATGGGTACTTCTGTGGTTCTTAGTATATTTACTATGTTGCACTAGCACCACCACTATCTAATTCCAGAACATTTTAATCACACTCCAAGAAGCCTATACCCTTAACACCACGGCCCATTTCCGCCCTCCCTCAGCCCCTGGGAGTCATTCATCTGCTTTCTGTCTCCATGGATTTGCCTCTTTGGGATATTTCATATAAATGGAATCGCAGGCTACACAATCTTTTGTGACTGGCTTCCTCCACTTAGGACAATGTTTCCAAGGTTCAGTACTTGGAATAGCAAGTTCTTCATGCCTTTTTATGGCTGAATAATATTTCATTGTATGGATGTGCCACATTTGGATGGGTTCCACTTTTTGACTATTATGAATAATGCTGCTATGAATATTCATGTACAAGTTTTTGTGTGAACATACGTTTTATACCCAGGAGTAGAATTGCTGGGTCATATGGTAGTTCTATGTTTAACTTTTTGAGGGACTGCCAAGCTATTTTCCACAGTGGCTGCATCATTTTACATTCCCATCAGCAATACACCAGCATTCTAATTTCTTTACATCCTCAGAAACACTTGTTATTTTCCCTTTTTTAAAAATTGTAGCCATCCTAGCGGGTGTGAAATCATTATCTTGTTGCGGGTTTGATTTCCATTTCCCTAATGGACTAGTGCTATTCATTTCACTAATGACTAGTGCTATTCAGAGGATGTTTTCATGTCTTACTGACCATTTGTACATCTTCTTTGGAGAAATGTCTACTCAGATCTTTTGTCTGTTTTTTAATTGGGTTCTTCATCCTTTTATTTTTGAGTTGTAGGAGGTTTTTAAGTTTTCTGAATACTAGACCCCTATTGGATATATGACTTGAACATATTTTCTCCCATTCTATGAGTTGTCTTTTCACTTTCTTGATAGTGTCCTTTGATGTACTAGTTTTTACTAGTTTTGCAATCTACTTTATTTTTTATTTTATTGTTTGTGCTTTGGGAACAATATCTAAGAAACTGTTGCCTAATTCAGGGTCACACATCTTTTCCCCTATCGTTCCTTCTAAGAATTTTGTAGTTTTAACTCTTATAGTTTTAGGTATTTCATCCATTTTGAGTTAATTTTTTGTATATGGTGTGAGGTAGGAGCCCAAATTTATTTGTGTGTGTGTAGATATTCAATTTCCCCAGCACTATTGTTCAAAAGACCACTCTTTCTGCATTGAATAGTTTTTTGGCACCCTTGCCATAAAGAAGTTGAACATAAATGACCATAAATTATTGCTAGACTCTCAATTCTATCCATTGGTCTATATGTCTGTTCTGAAGTAGTACCACACTGTAGCTTTGTAATAAGCTTTGAAATTGGGATGTGTAGTCCTCCAAACTTGTTCTTTTCCAAGATTGTTCCAGTCATTCTGTGTTCTTTGTAATTCCATAATGTATATGGATTTTAACAAGGGCCACAAACTCAAATGCATCCGGAACTAAACAGATTTTGTAAGTTAGCAAAGCTGGCAGTTTCAAAACATATCTTTGGTTATGTTCTTTTGACATGCATGATTTGCTTGCATCTTAAACACAGGAAAGTTCTTCCCCTTTACACAGAAGCATGCTTTCTCCACTTTTTCTTGCAACATGCCAAGATGTCTTCTCCCCTGGCCACCCTTGCATTCAGGAAAGGCTATGAGTACAGTCCTAGTTCTAACCATGAGACATAGAGCAGTCTGCTGGGAGAGCTTCTGGGAGAGAGATCACATGATAAGAGAAAGGCAGGGAAACTCCCAGCTCTGTGCTAGTGCTGGGACTAAGGCGAGGCAAGAGAGGTGCCCAGGGTACCATATTTAAGGAGGTGCTCACCGTCAGGGCCATACACCAAGACCAATGCCTCCTTCAATGTGCCACCTTGGGTCCCTGGCTGGCCCCACCCTGACCCAGCCCTGCTCTGTCTGCCTTTGCTCTTCTTCCTGCTCTGAACCACGGGTGTGATGCCCAGAGCTGGGCAACCATCCAGTAACTCGGGGCAATGAGACTGAGGGCAAACATCATCAGGCTGTGGAATCTGAAGGCGGTGTGGAGAGGTGGGAAGGCCTAGCCTTCGATGACACTACCTTTTCAAGGTTCCCTGTTCCGTGGCATAATCACATGTCTATTAGGATAACTCCCAAAGGCCTTGAAAGTTGAGTTTTCTGTAACTTTCTACCAAAATCATTTATAACATATCAATTTATGGCAAGTACAATGAGTTTGCCATGTAAAGCTGTAAAGCAATATGTTTAAGCTTTAAAAGTAAGTTGAAGACTTCATCAAACTTAAATAACCTTGCTCTTTGAAAAACACATTAAGAAGCTGGGTGTGGTGGCTCACACCTGTAATCTCAACACTTTGGGAGGCTGAGGCAGGTGGATCACTTAAGCCCAGTTGTTCAAGACCATCCTAGGCAACATGGCAAAACCTCATCTCTACAAAAATACAAAAATTAGCCAGGTGTGGTGGTGCCCACCCATGGTCCCAGCTACTCAGGAGGCTGAGGTGGGAAGGTCTCTTGAGCCCAGGAGGTTGAGGCTGCAGTGAGCTAAGATTGCACCACTGCACTCCAGCCTGGGTGACAGAGCAAGATCCTGTCTCAAAAAAAAAATTAAACGGAAAGAAAAAGGACACTGTTAAGAGAATGAAAAAGCATCCAAGGACTGGGAAAAATATGTGCCAAACATATATCTGACCAAAGACTGATGTCTAGAGTATAAAGTGAACTCTTACAACTCCATAAGAAAAAGGCAAACTTTTACCCAATAAAAATGGACAAAAGAGATAAAGAGATACATCACCCAAGAAGAGATACAGGTGGAAATGAGCCTCCAAAAGGATGCTCAACATCATTAGTTGTCCTTAGTCATTAGGGAGATGCAAATTAAAACCACAGTGAGCTACCACTTCACACCTACTCGATCTGCTAAAATGCAAAACCTCACAGCTGAGTGCTGACGGATACAGAGCGGCTGGAACTCTCGCACCCTGCTGGCGGGAAGGGAAAGAGTGCAGCCTGGTTGGAATACAGTTGGGCCATCTCTTATAAAGCTATACGTACATTTCCCATACAACCCTGCAAGTCTGTGTGAGGTGAGAGAAATGAACACATATGGCCAAAGACCTGTGTACAAATGTTTATAGCAGCTTTATTTGTAACAGGCCCACACCAGAAACAACCCAAGTGTCCATTGGCTGGTGAATGGATTAAGGGACAGTGGCACATCTGTACAATAAAATAGTACTCAGAAATGAAAAGGAAACAAATATTAATACATGCAGGACTATGGAAGAATCTCAAACATGCTCAGTGACAGACACCAGACTTGAAATGCCACATCTATTCCACTCACACAAAACTCTGGCAAAAGTAAACCTATGGGAGGGATGTCAGCTCAGTGCCTACAGGGGGAAGGTTTGGGGAGGGGGAAGTGATTGATGGCAAAGAGAGGCCCAGGAGGTTTTGGGGTGATGGCACTGTCTGTACCTTGCTTGCGGTGGGGGATACGTGACTGTATGCATTTGTCACAACTAAGAAGGGAGAATTCTACTGCCTGGAAACATTTCAAAACTAGAGCCAGGCTATGGGTTTGATGAATTATTACATGCAAACACAGCATATAGAAACAAGAATGCTGGACAATAAAATGAGTACATTATGGTTTTGGTTTTAGCTTGATTAGAAAAAAAAAAAAGGTGGGCTGGGCAAGGTGGCTCACGCCTGTAATCCCAGCACTTTGGGAGGCCAAGGCAAGCAGATCACCTGAGGTCAGGAGTTCAAGACCAGCCTGACCAACATAGCGAAACCCTGTCTTTACTAAAAATACAAAATTACAGGTGTGGTGGCATATGCCTGTAATCCCAGCTACTCGGGAGGCTGAGGCAGGTGAATTGCTTGAACCTGGGAGGCAGAGGTTGCAGTGAACCGAGATCATGCCATTGCACTCTAGTCTGGGTGACAAAGCGAGACTTCGCCTCAAAAAAAAATAAAAACGAAAAAGGTTGGGGTGGCAGCATCACGCTAAGTGAAAGGAGTGAGACACAAAAACCACACACTGTATGACCCCATTCACATGAAGTTCTGGAAAAGGCAGAACAGTGGGAAACCCCGGGAACAGGAATCAGATCAGGGTGGCCCGGGGCCTCGGGCGGCAGACAGGTCTGACCACTGAGGGACACCAGGGCAGCGTGGGGGTGGTGCGCTGGTCTAGGTCTTGGTGGTGGTGGTCACGTGGCTGTGTGCATTTGTCAAAACTCACTGAACGACACGCTTCAAAGGGGTAAATTCTACTGTATGTAAATTATATCTCCAATTATGTAAATTATATACACCTGACTGTTTCAAAAAGTAAGCTGAGTGAAAGGAAATTATTAGATAAATAATCATACAGGTGGTGTGCAGATACGGCAAAAATTGCGGAGGTGGTAGAAGAACGAACACATTTTGGGAAACACTTAGTCCCAATTATCTCTCTAAAAAAAGGAAAAAAGTAACTTAAGAAGGTGAATGGGTGTGCCTATTTTCTCCCATCTGATCCATATAATTTAGCATTTTGGTGGTTTGTCCTGGAATAGTTTAATTGAAGTGTCAATCAGAAAACTCTCTAAAGATGAAAGGCAGCTTCTCAGGTTAATGGTTGGGGATCACCCCCACCCCTTGCCCAGCCCGGCCCTGCCATTGTCATCCCTGTTATCAAGGCTGGCAGGAGACCAAAACTCACACCGGTGGAACAATGAGGGAGCATTTCACTCAGGACCCTTTACAAAGAGCGGTCAGGGCTCAGGGAAATGGTGATGGTGAAGCACTTGGGGCCAGTGACAGCAGGAAGCCCTTGCCGTGACAAGACCTGCAGGGTGAGAAGAGAAAGCACATCCCAGAACCCAGAGAAAGAACCCCTATGGGAGCAGGGCACCCAGGAAGAGCCGTGGCCTCTGCAGAGGAGCTCAGAGAGCCCATGCCCTGCAGGGAGGGGCACGGGGATAATCCCCCCAACCTCACTCTCCCCCTGCCCTTAGGCTTCTGGCTGGTGTCTCCAAAGCTACCTGGAAGCCGGAAGCCCAGAGCCTGCACGTGTCATCCTTGCCAAGGACAGGCTTCCAGGGCCCCGAGAAGAGGAAGAAGGCAGTGGGCCTGCAGGGGCACGTGGAGGGGCCTGGCATACACCCTGGGAGGCTGCATTAAATGCTCAGCGTGGTGAGGCCAGCAGAGAAGGAGCAGACTGCCATTTGAAAGAGGGCTGGTTACTCACAGATCCTGAGGAACAGTGTGGGGTGCACCACGCAGGGCCATGCAGAGAAGCAGCGGGTCGGCAGGAGGCAGAGGGAGAGGGGGTTGTGGGCAGGAGCCTCCATTACAGAATACACAAGAAGAAACAGCAAGCTAGGTAAGCAGATATAGGGTTAATTCATTTGAATAATTTTGGGACTCTGGGACACAAGACTGTCCCTGGCTGTCTGATCCTGGCCCTGGGGGTATAGGGTAGGAGGACAGTGGTCCAGAGTGTGCGAGGCGCTGGCTGGGTGTGGGCTCTGGACTGGGTGGTTTGCATATAAAAGGTACGCTGGCAGGGAGACATCTCCTATCTCTAGGAACTGAAAGGGGTGGTCCCTCCAAGTTCAGCAAAGCCCCAAGATACCAAAACATCAGAATATAAAAACTAAAGAGCACCTCTATAAAACTCAGGGTCCTACCCAGTACTGGGAGGCCCATGGGGAGGGAAGGCCAGTTGCCAAAAGAAGTCTTTAAAGGCATCAGTCAGTCCTAATTCGATTATCAGGCACTGGGGCACAGGTCCAGGCTGCTAGAGAGCCACAGGAGGTGCTCAGCCCCTTTCTCTCCACCTTTCCAAGGCCTCCCCACCAGCCGAGGCCCACTGCACCTCTTCACTGCAGCCCTCCTGACACTGGGGCCCATACTGTCCTCCCACCACCTCCCTCTGCAGGTGCACCCTCCACAGAGAGCTTAACCCCTACCTGTGTCCTTCTCCCAGTCTCGTCTCCAATACTGGTTCCCTCTCACCCAATGGTGGAGGCTGCAGGACCACATTTCCTGCAGATTGTAAGAAACACAGCTCAGATGCCCTGGGCAGCATCAGCTGGCACTTGGAGCTGCTGGGACCAGGGCTTGACAGGAGGGGAGAAGCTTCCACCTTAAGGAGACACTACACAGAGCCACATGCATGCTCCAGGACAGAGCAATGGCACTGTACCCACCACCCAGCCCCACCCTCACTGGGCATCTCTTAGAAAGAGGTAGGATAACTAACGGGGACAGATGGGGTCAAAGCAACTGGAGACGCAGGGACAGAGGATAGGCTTCCGGCTGCCGGTGGGGGATGAGGGGTGGGTGGCTGAAGGGAGAAATCCTTCCCTCCTGGGGGTTCTTTTTGGGAGGAGCTGGCTCCCTGCAGTCTGATCCCGCAGAAGCAATGGCTGGGTGGGGCTGGAAGTCCCCAGGGTGGTGACAGCCTTGTTCTTCAACACAGTTCTGCATGGGTAGCTGGGAGTGGGGAAGAGGATATAGGTGCTCAGCCCTCTCTGGAGCCCCCTGGCCCCCCTGTGAGGAGCCTTCACCCCACTCCAGGTCCTTCCTAATCTGCCCAGGTGGGTCTCACACCCAGCTCTACACCTGTCTACAGTCCGTGCACGCCACCCTCCAAACCCACCTTCGCACAATGCACCCAGTAGACACCCACACACCCCACCAGACCCTGCTCAGACCTTGTCTGGTGGTACCCTCCAGCTCTGCCTTCCATTAACAGGGTGGTGGGAGCAGAGGGGGGTCTGCTTCTTTGATCCCCTGACTTCCTGTATTTCCCCCAATCATTGCACTTTCGTTTCCATATTATAGTTACTGAATTCCTCAATTTCCTCATCTGTAAAATGGGAACAATAATAGTCCCTATCTCAAAGATTTACTATGCAGGTTAAATGGATAAGGGCTCATAGTTTAGAAAAGGACACAAGAAAACAAGTCCATTAATAATTCCTATTCATACATAGTTACTAAGTAATCATTATTAATGCACAAACCCACATCCTACTCACAGATGACTCTGGTGTACAAGTGAGTAAATGCTGGTGAAACAACCATGGCCACTCCAGAAGCAGATGGTTCAAGTCCAGTCCAAGCTCACAGGGTTCTCTAACTTGGACAGCAGAGGCTGGTGTGTGGCCAGCCAGGCCAGTGTGGCACCGTGCTGGGTGCTGTGCAGGGATCGTCTCTGTTAATCCCCATGATGACCAAATTGGGGCTGGGCAGAGGAGAGCAAGGATGCTTTTGCAAAGCTGCCTGGGAAAACTGGAATGTGTACCTGGTCTGAGAATGGCGAGAGCCTGGCCTCTTCTGCCCACCTCTTGTCCCCAGCCCCTGGTCCCCAGCCCCCGGCCCCCACCTCCAGCTAAAAGGCCAGCAGGAGGTACAATGCACCTCCCACTTCCACGTGTGGCCACAAAACCTCATCTCACGTCCGGCCATGACGCTCCAGGCTTAGCAGGAGTCTGAAATTGTGCTCAGAGCTGAGCAGGGGGAGCCGGCTGCAGGCGATGCCAGCCCCGGGTGCCAGGCTAAGTGGCTTCCAGGCCCTCTAATCACCCCACTCCCAGAATCTGGCCATTAACTCCCTCCAGGCACAGGAGGGGGAACTGCCACTCTCCCTGCCTGGCTTTTAGTCCAATACAATTAGGAGCCATTATTTCTGTCGTGTTGATTCTTGAAAAATCATTTTAAATTGTCGCCCTTTTTTGTGCTTTGGAAAAGGAAAATGCCAAAGAAGATGAAAACAGAAAAGCGTACCCACACCCCCCGCCTGGCTCCCAGTACCCCCCTCAGTCCCCCCATTTCTCCTGACCTGTTCCCTTGGCAACCGTCAACTCGCTGCTGCAATATTCAAAGGGAATCTCACAACTGCACATCAAATGGGACGCAGGGGGTATTTTCAGTTGCCTGAGACCCAGTGGACGGACAGACAGACACACACCCCCTCAGGGAAGACAGAGACACAGAGAGGCAGAGACGGACAGAGAGAGACACAGAGAGAGAAGAGCAAAAAGACCCGGCACAAAGAGACAAAGACCCCCAGGGAGATAGCGACGTGGGGACCCAGAGATGCTGGAGTGGATGCACAGAATGAGACAGAGACAGAGCAAGAAAGAGATGTATGTGCAGAGTGACAGACAGACAGACACTGATGAGGAAAGAGACCAACCCAGAGAGACAGAAAAAACAGACACATGGCGCAATGCAGAGGAGACAGATGGGGCTGGGCAGGGGGATTGGACGGAGGGAGAAGAGGGGCACAGGCAGGAGGGGACGGACTGAGGGTGGCAGAGAGGAGATAGGAGGAAGCAGTGGGAGCCACAGTGCCTGGCCTGGGCACCACAGCCTCTGAGGGCCCCTCCAAGCCAGGCTGCCTCTCCTCCTCCCCTTTCCCTGCCCCAGGTAGGCTTCTCCCCTGACCAGACACCTCACCCTCGCTGAAGCACCCTGCTGTTTCCCGCACACACTTTGCCTCTCTTGCCTTTGCCACGCTCCTCCACAGCCAGCCTGGGATGAGGTTGTTGTGAGGATGTCCCTCTGGATGGCCACCCCACTCATTCCCAGACCCCTTACTCCTTCCTAAAAGTGAGAATGACATTGCGAAAGATGCCAATGGTGGAATTCCAGCCACCCTAGCAGACATTAGGGAAGACAGGCTCCCCTCAAAGCACATGGAGGAGGATCAGGAGGGTCCTGTGGTTCCAGCTTAGGGCTAAGGATCGGGGTCAGGGCATGGGAACCTGTAGCTGCCCCATACTCAGTGGCAGCCACACGGAGGGTGGAGGGAGGGGCCTGGCAGGCATTTCGGCCCTGTGGCCTCCTCTCGGGCCCTTGCTTCTGCGCCTGAGCCCCTACTCCACCCAGGCCCAATACTCCTTGGCTCTCAGCATCTGGCATGATTCTGACCTGAGGAGGCTGTTAGGCCAGAGGCTGGGAGAAGGGACCAGAGGAGTAAAAACGCTCAGGTTAGAAGTCAGAGGTCAGAGGGCATGGGCAAAGCTCAGGTCCCCCTCAGAGGGAGCATGGCAGGCAAACCTAGATTGCAGCACCCGTTCTGCCACTGACCACCGTGGAGTCACGGGGCCACTCTGAACCTCAGCTTTCCCACATATAAAATGGGTAAATAGGCCTTGCCCAGAGCAATTGCTGGAGCGAGGCTCTGAGAGTGCATGTGTGCAGTGAGCGAGGCTCTGAGAGTTTGTGTGTGCAGTGAGCCAGGAGCGAGGCTCTGAGAGTGTGTGTGTGCAGTGAGCCAGGAGCGAGGCTCTGAGAGTGCATGTGTGCAGTGAGCGAGGCTCTGAGAGTGTGTGTGTGCAGTGAGCCAGGAGCGAGGCTCTGAGAGTGCATGTGTGCAGTGAGCGAGGCTCTGAGAGTTTGTGTGTGCAGTGAGCCAGGAGCGAGGCTCTGAGAGTGCATGTGTGCAGTGAGCGAGGCTCTGAGAGTTTGTGTGTGCAGTGAGCCAGGAGCGAGGCTCTGAGAGTGTATGAGTGCAGCAAGCCAGGAGCGAGGCTCTGAGAGTGCATGTGTGCAGTGAGCGAGGCTCTGAGAGTTTGTGTGTGCAGTGAGCCAGGAGCGAGGCTCTGAGAGTGTATGAGTGCAGCGAGCCAGGAGCGAGGCTCTGAGAGTGCATGTGTGCAGTGAGCAACGCTCTGAGAGTGCATGTGTGCAGTGAGCCAGGAGCGAGGCTCTGAGAGTGTGTGTGTGCAGTGAGCCAGGAGCGAGGCTCTGAGAGTGTATGAGTGCAGTGAGCCAGGAGCGAGGCTCTGAAAGTGTGTGTGTGCAGTGAGCCAGGAATGAGGCTCTGAGAGTGCATGTGTGCAGTGAGCAACGCTCTGAGAGTGCATGTGTGCAGTGAGCCAGGAGCGAGGCTCTGAGAGTGTATGAGTGCAGCGAGCCAGGAGTGAGGCTCTGAGAGTGTATGAGTGCAGCGAGCCAGGAATGAGGCTCTGAGAGTGTATGTGTGTAGTGAGCCAGGAGTGAGGCTCTGAGAGTGCATGTGTGCAGTGAGCCAGGAGCGAGGCTCTGAGTGTGTGTGTAGTGAGCCAGGAGTGAGGCTCTGACAGTGCGTGTATGAGTGCAGGGAGTGATAGCTCTAAGGACAAACAGTGACCATGATGACAATGAGAACAATAATCATAATTTTTTGGCAGAATGAGAGCTGGATGCCTGGCCGGGGTCAGAACCTCAAAGCCTTGGGGCCAGCAGCAGGAAGAAGCCATGTAAGACTCCATGGAGGTGGGGCTGCAGAGCCCAGACCCACCCCCCAGCCTGGGCTCAGGTGCACTGGGGACCCAAGGGGACAAACTCTGCCAAGTTTTCAAAAGGAGCTGGAAATAAGAATTTTTAATGCCGAATTTGAGTTTTAAATATTGGTAACCAATTCATTTTTCAAAGCACGTTGCAGGCCAAATAAAACATCCAGGGCTAGATGGGCCGTGTTGGCCAGTTTGTACCCTTACCTCTTCTCAGTGAACCATCGCCTCAGGGCTTGATCCACCGACAGGGGGCACCCTTTCCAGGGCTGCTGGGGCCCAGCAGCTCAAAGAGGCTGTGCAGGAGCAGCTTAGTCCAAAACTGTCTGTCCCTGGGGGGCAGATGCTGCACACTGGGATCCATTCCCCAGACACCGTGGCTCCTGGAGGATCCTGGACCTCAGCCGGGCTGTGGGAGAGCCTCAGTTCTGCTGCAGCTCCTTCCCCACCACACCTGCCCCTGGTGCTGCCCCTGCTGCCCGGCACCTTGGACACACAGAGGCGCAGAGAGAGGGCCAGCGCTCAGGGCTCAGGACCAGGCACTGTGAAGGCGGGGAGGGTAGTCAAAGACCATGGTTCACAAATGGTCCTGGGCAGGTGGTGGGGATTGTGACTGCCACCCTGAGGAGCTCAATTAAAAAGCAGTTTCCTGGGGCCCAGCCCTGCAGAGTCTGATTCCTTAGGGCCAGTGAGTGTGCATTTTAAGAAGCATCCCGAGGGACTCCGATAGGTGTGCTGCAGACCCACTGAGAAGACAGGGAGGAGTGGGATCTGGTGTCCTGCCCCTCTGGCCCAGGCCCCAGGGCCCCCAGGACCTGCTGTGTCCCCAGCTAGTGCCCAGGCTCCTGCCATGGCTGCCCCTATGCCGGTGAATCTGAGGAGAGCACAGACTCCCCCTCATTGCATGGTGACTCCAGGAGGAAGCCATGGAGCATCTCCACCCACAGGTTCTTCTGGCTAGTGCATGCCCCTCCTGGCTCTTTAAGAACCAGGCCTGCAGCAAGCAGTGGGGGCTTCTCCTACCCAACCCTTGAGACCAGTTTGGAGGTGTTTGTCTCAGGCTCTGGTCTTCAGCTGTGGCTCTGTCCTCTTGGTCTGCAAGGGTGACTCCCCAGTCTGGCTGTGCATCCCAGGTCCCTAGAGGCTTTGGAAAACTAGGGTTCCCTGGTTTCTACATGAGAGAGAACCAGCTGGCTCCAGTGCCCAGCTCCAGGAACGCACCCTCCAGAACCGTCCTGGTGCATGAGGCAGCAAGAGTCCTCAGGGGGCCCTGCACATGCCCTGCGCCCCTACCCTGGCCCCAGCCTCAACATGGCCAGTCACAGAACCTAGCCCCCTGGCAGCATTTCTGGGGCATACCCAGGCCGGGACAATAAGAGCCCTCCCCAGGGATTTTTCCTGCAGGAACCCTGTGGGGAGAGAGGTCACTCCCTCTGGGGTGGGAGCTGCTCGTCAGTGCACCCCAGAGCTGGAGGAGCAAAGAAGAGGGCAGCCCCAAAGGCAATGGGATTCTTGGCCAGCTGCCAGGGCACCCCAGCCTCATCGCAGTTCCAAGAGAAGCCCCTGTGCCCTCACAGTCAATTCCCTTCTTGCCTAAGCTAGTTGGCGTTATGTCACTTGCAACCAAATATATCACCCTAAACCTACTGACTCAGAAGTTTTGTATTTTTAACAAGTTCCCCAGGTGATTCTCGGCCGAACTGCGCTTGAGAAGCACTGATGTACAGCACTGCCAATTAGGCTGCTGGTGTTCTTGGGACTCAGGCCATCTTCACGCTGGAATCTGTCAGTTCCAATTCATACCAGCCCTCCCCCTACCCCCAGCATCTGCACATCAAACCCCGTGATATAATCCCTGCACAGCCGTTGGGAGGGAGAGGGGTCTGAACATCCAGGCCCAATCACTGAGCAGCTGGAAACATGAAGCCCCTGGAGGGAAAGCCCCAGAGGTCTTCTCCAGAGAGAATAAAAGGTAGGGAATGCGAAAGAAGGGGCTCTATCCTAAAGGTTTGATCAGAGGAGAGCAAAGGGAGGAGTCCAGGACTAGTTTTATCTACCCGTTTAGCAAATATTTCCTGAGCTTCTACTGACTGTATCCCAGATACTGTGCAAGGTACAGGGGACCCCTGTAAGCAGGTGGGGGCTCCCTGCTCTCCAGGCCCTGACTTTGTCAGGGAGAGATATGAAATACCCAGGCCAGTGCTACATGAACATATGACTACAGACCCTGCAGGAAAGAAGCAGGGTCTCGGCACACACACTCGCCTCCCAATATCTATTCTCGCCTCCTTTTCAGCTGGGTACAGCCATGGTGCACACTTCCCAGCCTCTTCTGCAACTGGATGTGGCCACAAGAGAGTTCCTGCCAATGGAATTTGGGCAGAAGTAAATGTGTAACTTCTGTCTTAGTCTGACCAGGCTGCTATAACAAAATGACTTAGACTGGGTAATTTACAAACACAAGAAATGTATTGCTCACAGTTGTAGAGGCTAGAAAGTTCAAGATCAAGGCACCAATTTGATGTCTGGTGAGGGCCTGTTCCTTGTGGATGGAGCCTACTAAATGTCCCCACATGGTGGAAAGGGTGGACAGGCTCCTTCAGGCCTCTTTTATAAGGGCACTAATTCCATTTGTGAGGGTCCCACCCTCATAACTTAATCACTCCCTAAACACACCACCTATTTACACTATTACACTGGGTATTAGGCTCCAATATATAAATTTTGGAGGGACACAAACAGACTATACTTCCTTAGAAGTATCTTATGATTGGAGAGGTGAGTGTCCTCCTTCCTCGTCCTCCCTCCTTCCCATTGGAAGGGAGACGCAATGGCCAGAGCTGGAGCAGCCTTCTGGGTCTATGAGGGGTATGCCACATGTTGAGAGGCATGGAACAAGAGAGGAGCCTGGGTTCCTGAGGCTAACGGAGGTGCCGTGGGAGTCTGGCACTGTTGACCTCCAGACCTCACTTACAAAAGAGGGAGAAAGATATCTTTCTCTAGCTCTGTCATGGCTGTTCCGACACAATGGCCCTCTGAGAAATTGTAACAGGGGGATTCATTTCAACTGGGAAAAGACCTCTTTGAGGAAATCTCTTTGACTTGGGTACTGAAAGACAGACAAAAGTTGGCCAAGGAGAGAGAAGGAGGAGAAGCTCTTAAATGAGATAAATTCCAAAAGGAGGCTGCTTGGGCCGGAGCAGAGAGTTACCAGAATTGGGGGATCTGGAATGGGTCCCAGTTTGAGAGGTAGGGATGTTTTTTAAATAAAAATCAGTGGTTTTTTTTTTTTTTTTTTTTTTTTTTTTTTTTGAGACAGAGTCTCACTCTGTCGCCCAGGCTGGAGCTGGGGCTGCAAGGGGTGGGGGGACACAAGCAGCCTGTGGGCCAAGTCAGGGAGCTAGGGGCACTGAGAAACCCCAAGAGAGTCTTAAAGCAGGCAAGCAACAGAAACAGATTTTTATGGCTGAGTGCAATGGTTCACGCTTGTAACCCCAGCACTTTGGGAGGCCAAGGCATGCAGATCACCTGAGGTCAGGAGTTTAAGACCAGCCTGGCCAACATGGTGAAACCCCATCTCTACTAGAAATACGAAAAATTAGCCGGGCATTATGACACACGCCTGTAATCCAAGCTACTCAGGAGGCTGAGAGAATCACTTGAACCTGGAAGCTGGAGGTTGCAGTAAGCCAAGATAGCACCACTGCACTCCAGCCTGGGTGACAGAGCGAGACTCTGTCTCAAAAAAAAAAAAAAAAAAAAAAACAATGATTTTTATTTGAAAAACATCCCTGCCTCTCAAACTGGGACCCATTCCAGATCCTCCTATTCTGGTAAGCACCTGCCATCCTCATTAGAGGGCACCGTTAGTTGCCTTTTACAGATGCAGAATCAGAGAGGTTAAGTGGCATGCTCAGGGTAACTCAGCTCACATGAGTCCCAGCAGGCGCCTGAGCCCAGACCCACCTGACTCTCAGACCCTGAGATCTCTCTGCACTGTTTGCCACACCACTCCCATCCCAAGCCCTTACCCCCAGGTGACCAGGCTCCTGGTGTCCAGCCGGACCCACCTGGAGGAGATGCATGCTCACCCTGGCTGCAAGCACTGGAGGTTTTCAGGCTGCTCAGGGGCCTTAGAGAGCACTGGTCTCCCAAACACGCACCGCACAGATTGGGGACTGAGGCCCTGCAGAAGCAGGGTCTCCCAAGGCCACAGGATGCAGACCAAAAATGAGGTCCAGGGCTCGAAGCTTCTCAGGACAGGCTCTCAGGGGCCAGGGAGCTAGTCTGAAAAACTGCCCCCCATTCAAATGCAGCAGGCTAGCCCTGGCTTCCCACAGACAAGCCTCCACATCTGCTGTCCCTTCTTCCCTGCCCCTTGTCATCCCAGAATCCAGTGATCTGGGCCAAAGAATCCGGGCCCAACTCACAAGTACGAAAGGTGCCATTGCAGGCCGGATAGCAAGGGGGGCTGAACTCCCTCCCTCTTACATGGCTAACGGGGCTCATCAGCATTAATCATCGAGTGCTTGGGAGCCAGAGCCTCTAAGAGAAGGCACAGAGTGCAGCTGCTTAGGCTCTCCTTGCCCAAGCTCCAGACAGCGTGGAAAGGACATGGGCAGAAGAGGCAGAAAGTGGCTCAAGCCTCACCCCCACCCCTTCCAGAAGACTGTGAACTCCCCTGAGACTCCTTTCCTCAGACCCACCTGGTGGAGATGAAAGGACTTTGCAAACTGGAAAATGTTATGCTAATATGGAGACTGGTTATAATCAGGTATAGCAAAAGAGTTGCTGCCTTCATGGTATTTTAAATGTGGATAGTTTTCTCAGTTCCCCAAGTACCTTATCCGGCCAGAATTTACACAATTATGGAGTCATCCGTCCAGTGACAGGACTGCCTATTTCAAATCCCTTCTGGGAAAAGCAAAACCCTACTAGGAACAACACAACATTGTCTAATTAGTCATTTATACTTTAGTATAAATGAGTCTGTACCCATCCTTTCTGAGAGGAGAGCCTCAAGCAGGAAAGGGAATTTTATTAGGGAAAGGTTGATGGGAAGGGATGATTATGGAGCCAGGGACAGAGACTTGCTGGGGGGTCCCTTCCGGAAGTTGGGATCAGACTGGACACAATTGAAACCACAGGCCTTGTAAGGCCTGGAGGTAAAGGAGGACTCAGGGGGCATCAGGAGAAGGAGTTGGCTGCCTCCTGAGGCCCCAGCCTTTCTTTACCTTTAATCCTTCTCTCCTGTGGGCCCTGCCGCACAGCCTGCAAACATGCTCAAGATTCTCCCACCCGGAAAAGTCCCTCTTTCAGTCCCCTGCACATCTCAGCAGACAGAATGTGGGCTTTGCAGTCAGATGATCTTGAGTTCCATGCTTCACTCTGCCACTTGTCCACAAAATGGCTTCAAGAACCACTGTTTTACTAATCTTTGTACCTCCAGACCCAAACCCAGAGCCTGGTACAGAAAATAAAAATAAAAAACAGGCTCCAAAAACATTGTTGAGATGGATGATGGATTTTCTGAGCTTCAGTGTCCTCACCTGCAAAATGTTATCAAGGAAAAGCAGAGTAAAAATATTTGTTTATACTAAAGTATGAATGGCTGATAGGATTTTGCAGAGATTTTAAAGAGGAATATCCCCAGACTCAAAGGGACAACAAAATAAGCCCTTCCTCACAGGGCAGTGGTGAGGACTAAATGCAGTTATTTATGTATTCATTTAATAAATCTATAGCAAGCTACTATGTGTGCCACACACTGTTCTAGGCACTGGGGTTAAAACAGTGAACAACAATGAAAAATTCCTGCCCTTATGGAGCTGACATTTAGTGTAGAGGACTGGCAATACACTAACAAATAAATAATAACTCAATATATAATATAAAGTCAAGTAATGATCAGTTCATTGAAGAAGATTAAAATGGAATGAGGGGTGGCATGTGATGGTGGAACACTGGTTTAGATGGGATGGTCTGGGAAGATCTCTGTGAGGAGGTAACATTTGAACAGAGACCTAAATGAATGCATCATGCAAATATCTTGGGAAAAAGAAGCTTAGGAGTATAACCATATTACCTTGGGGTGAGCAAAGATGGCTTGAAAGATATACAGAAAACCTTCAGCCATAAAAAATATAATTGGCAAGTTGGACTACATTGAAGTGAAGACTTTCCATCCATCAGAAGGCACCATCAGGAGACTGAAAATGCAAGCCATGGAGTGGGAGAGGATATTCAGAACATGTACATCTATCAAAGGACTCATAACCAGAATAGAAACATTTCCTACAAAGCAATAAACAAAGATACCACTCAATAGAAAAGTGAGCAGGATTTGGACCTTCATGAAACAGGATAGCCCAATAGCCAGTAAATGCAGGAGAGGGTGCCTGACTTCAATGATCATCAGAGGATTGCAAATTAAAACACCAATGAGCTACTGCTGCACACCTTCAGAATGATTATAATGAAAATGACAGAAAAAGGCCATGTGCTGGAAATCCTGGAACACTCTTAGGCTGCTGGTGGGGGAGTACATTGGTACAATCTCCATGGAAGAGAGATTTGCAGCATCTATTAAAGCTAACATATGCCAACCCTATGACCAAGCACTTCCACTCCTAGGCCCACACTCAATTGAATGGCATACATACATTCATAAAAAGAAGGGTATGAGAAGATTCATAGCAGCATTATTTGTGAAAACCAAAAACGAGAAGCTACCCAAATGCTCAGTAATGAAGAGGTGGATGTGAAGTGTGGGGCACTGGGACAAGCTAGAAACCAAAAAACAGACTGGCCCCATGTTGGTCTCTGTCATGCCAGCCCCAGCCTCTGACTTTATCGATGGAGTGAGCTGGCCCAGGAGTCAGAGAAACCGAAAAACACTGGCTGATGACACGTCTGATGGAGAGGGGGAAGGATTTAAAATCAAAAGTGACGATAGCCACCTCTGCTTTCTGAGTTTTATGAAACAATCCCAAACAGCAGAGAAATTGGGATTTTTGTGTGCTGTCCCTTTGATAGAGAAAATTGTAAAAGGAGGAGGTGGCCCTGGTTTGGCACAACACGGATGTGATGGGTCTCTGGCCATGCAAAAGTGGAGCTGTGCTGAGAACAGAGGGTAGTGAAATCAGTCTGCCTGAGTGGCGGAATGAAGTTGGGGGAACCAAAAGCTGAGGGTCCCAGAAAACAGAGACCTGGCCATTCCTTGGAGGAAAGAGAGTGTGTGAGTGTCTGGGGCCCTTCCTGGGGAGGCCAAAGGAGCCTTGAGGACAGGGGATGTCTTCTGTTTACCTTGGGGCTGTCTGCTGGGAGATACTGTGACATAGCCCTCCTCAATCTTAAATCATCAGTCAGTTTTGCAAGACACCCACCTGCCTGGTGTAAGGAAAAGAGAATGTGTCATACATTAGGAGCAATTGAAGGCAGAACAGAAACAGCCCATATGGCTCAGAAAGACAATCCAAAAATGGAACCACCTCAGTTACAACCGAAGCTCAGAGCTAAGAGGGAAGTGGGAAAATGTACACCTCCTCCAAAATACCCAGAGAAGCTGGGAGAGAACCGGACCTCTCCAAGGACAAGACATCTCAGCTGACATCCAGATTACACCTATGTAACCTAAACTAGTTCAGAGTATAGAGATGGAGGAAACTTTTATAAGTTCATTTCATAGAACTTAACAAAACATACATACTAAACTAATTTTTACTTATAAAAAGGTGCAAAACTCCTGAATAAAATATTAGCAGAATGAATCCAGTAGTAGTAACAGAATAATATGCTAATATAACACAGAAATATAGGAATGCAAGGCTGGTTCAATATTAGCAGAGCTGTTGGTGTCGTTCACATTAACAGGCTAAAAAGGAGGGCTTGAACTATGTTCATGGCTGTAAAAAGGAATTTGATAAAATCAAACATCCATTGCTGATTTTTTAAAAAAGCTTTCAGTAAACAGAATATTAAAAGAAACTTTCTTACCTTTGATAGAGTATTTATCAGAAACCAAATAGGAAAGATCAGATTTCACTATAAAAGACACAGGGTATCATTGGAATGATTTCTTCCAGGAAAACCTCATATTCTCCAGGGTACAGCTGCATCCAGTTTCCCCACTATACACTTTCACTCTCCCCATCCTTGTTTCTCCTCAAAGCTTCCTGATAGACTTTGTCCATTTTGTTCACATCTGCATTTCCAGGACCTAGAGCAACCTCTGCCACACAGCTAATGTTAAATCAATGGTGAATGAGTGAAAAAATAGAAACAAATCAAATATGCTCACTATTACCATTCCATTCAACATTATCCTAGGGATTATAGATGAGGCAAAAAAAGAGGAAAATGAGACGAAGGGTAAATATTGGAAAGAAAAGGATAAAACTATAAGTCTTTGCAGCTAATGTAAACATCTATCTGGAAAATTCAAGAAGAGACTTCAGAAAGATATTCAGATATGATATTCATATACAAATACAACACTATTTTCAAAAATCCTATATAAGTCAAGATGATACTGGTCACAAAGGCACCCAACTGAAAATGGTTAAAAGCAAGAAAGTTTGGGGTTTTGTGTTTGGGTTTGGTGAGAGGTGGGTTAGCTCCTTAACAAGACAGGCTGTGGACATTTCCATCTTAAGCACAGCTAGCTTGAGGGCCTCCAGTGATGCCAAAACAGCTTTTTAATTTTCATTTTTGTTTTTATCTCTGCCTGTCTATGTCTGGCTCCATTTTTCAGGCAGAAATTTTATAAGCATCAGAGGAAACAGCCACTGGCAACCCCAGACATACAATCCCAGCAGAAACAGTGTTTCTCCCTCACCACATTTAAAGAATATTTTCAGAGAGGATTGGTGGTCTGCCTTGGGTCACATTCCAACTGCCCCAGCCAAATAGGATGTCATTAGTAGTCCAGCCAGGACCGTGTGGCTATCCTGGTGACTCCGTGTGTGTGTGTGTGTGTGTGTGTGTGTGTGTGTGTGTGTGTGTGTGGTGTGGCCAGTGGAAGGAGGGCAGACCTTAATTGGTAGGTTCAACAGGACCACATGGAATGGGGCAAGAGTTCCCCTAAGGCAAGGGGTGCTATTATCACTGGAAAAGGGAGGTGGCAGGCATTCTGAGAGCACACAACATAGCAGCAACAGCCGACTACAATCCACCCCTTGGCTACTCAGAAGAGAAACACACGCTCTCACCATGCATAAAATCTCAAAACTCTTCCTTGCTTAAATTATGCTTTCATCCCACGTACATCCAAAATACATTCCCCTCCCCGAAGGGAGACAACCCAAATCACATTGAGATAACGTCAGCAGCTCCTAGTCCCGGATCTCTGAGCAATGCACCTTCCTCTAATGTGTTCTCACTGTGACCCTTTGTCTGACAAGCTGTGCCTTAGTTATGGATCTGAACCCCTCCACACACCCTGTATAGAATGCCCACCTGTGCACTTAGAAACTGTGAGCTTGTACAGCACCTTTCTCTCATCCTCTCCACCTCTTCAGTACTGCACCAGGAGAGTTCCTCATTCCATGGTCACATTCACCAAGCCACCTTCAGAGGTGGCGACTCGCTGCTCAGCCTGCCACTAAACCCTGACTTCAACGGCTTTATTCCAGAGACCTGTATCTGGCTCTTTTCCACACTGTTACTGTCTTAAACCTGCCCCTCTGAAGATGTTAATTCTACTTTTCTCTTTGTGCTGCTAGCTGCATCTCCCTGGGTGTTAGTTCCTAGTTATTGAATGCTGTATTTCGGTTTGCTGACTTGGGATGGATGCTCATGTTTGTAGATGAGATTATGGTTTCCCCGGTTGCCTCTGTTTACTGTGGCGGTGGGGGTGGGGCCGGGGTCCCCCCTGGAACCCCCGTTTCTCTCAGATCCCCCATCACCAGAGGATTATTCAACGGCCACTCCGCTGCTCCAGCCTGGAGGCAGACATCCTCCCACCTCCCTGTTGACAGGTGTCAGGGAAGAGGGAGGCTGACAATTACTCAGACGCCAGCTCTGCACCCAGACACCTGAGCAACTGTCCCCAAGCCTTCTGCTCCTTGTCTGTGAGCCTTGCCTTTAGAACACCGTGGGCAGCTCCCACCTGGGATTCTTCATCCAGCCAGTCCCTCTGTGTTCAAACTCTCAGGAACTCCTCAGCATCTCTGCCTTGTTTATGGCACTTATTTGGTCATTGTTTTCTAGAGCTATTCTGGATTCATGGCAGCGGGAGAGAATGAGAGAGGCAAAGAGACAGAAAGATACTTTCTGTCATTTCCAGGGATCTGGAGCAGGAGGAGGAGGTGGGGGAGGGGTGTATGCTTAATCTGCCATCTGTATCTTTTCCTTTTTTATCCCCATATAAAAGTATATTACAACAGCTGATAATAAAGGATATGCATAGAATAAAATTAAAATAGAAGAACAGAACTGACGAAAGGAAGAGGGGCAAATATTTCAATTATAAGGGTTACAGATTGCAGCCATAAACTACCCAGTGGCCAGAGTAAAGAGTGGAACTAGACTGTGAGCTCCCAGAGATCAAAGACGGTGTCCCAGCCACCTCAGTGTGCTTAGCCCTGGGCCGATCATAACCCAAGCAGTTTTTCAATAAACTTTTGGTGAATGAACACATGTAACCACTTGATTCTTCATCAAGCAACCCTGCCCTTGTTAACTGGTAAGAACACAGCATAAGATTTCATCGGTAGTGATATTGTTTTTCCTGCCAGTAAATCAAAAGCCATTTATTATATATAACATCATGGATAGGGTGCTTGACTGCTGCTGAGAAGAAGCAGGAAATATTGTTGTGACCAGTTTTCAAATGATCTTTGACAAAACCGGAGAGTGGAACAGACAAACCCCAGGGAGGCTGCTCTCGACCTCTGCTGTCCAGTGGCCCCTCCGCAGGGCTGCCCTGCCCAGTCCGCTCTGGCCAGGGGAGTGGAGCAGGAGGTGATGACCCTCACCACACCCTCCCTCCCCGCAGCGCTCGAATCTGAAGAGGGACAGCTCTTTCTGTACTGTTCATGACCTAAGACACTCGACTTCATTCAACTGAGCCGGGTCTTGCCGAAGCTGCTCCTATCTGCTCCCTGGTGCTTGGACAAGAAGACAAAGGCCCTGAGTGCTGGTCCTGGGCATTCCATGGACTCTCACACAGTCACTGCTTCGGTCCCGCCTTTATTCTTGTGCAGGAAGGTTGTGCAGCCCCTCCTCAGAGCCAGGCCTTGTGCAGGACATGAGACACAGGGAGCCCAGTGAGACCTCCGCCCTTCAAGAGCCATGGTGTGATGAAGAATGTAATTTGCATAGGAGGCTCCATTTCCTCCTCTGTAGAACAGGGATGACGATGTCTGTGTCCTGGAACCCTCAGGTGGTGGTGATCGGCACACATCTACTCTCAGCTTCCCAAGGCTCTGGGAGGGGATCAGGGATTTTATACACATGCCCAGCCCTCATCCCCTAGAGCTGCCTCACTGCCTGCCCTGGCGGTTTGGATAGGGCAGTGCATTGGGAAAGTGGATTCCAGTACCCGAGGGGAAGACTCCACTTCCATTAAGTTTCGCTTTATAAGCTAAACACTCTATGTCACCTGTAGTTAAGTTGTCTCTTTGAAGATTAAGTAGAGGTTTCCTCTCTTAGGGCAGGTGGAGGAGAGGAGAGGAATGCTAATGGGCTGATTCTCCTTCGAGGCCGAGGCCGAGGCCGGGGCTGAGGGTCCCCTTCATGGCCCTGCCTGCTAGAGGCTGTTGGGCTGTGCAGGAGGCAGCCTTGAGCAGGGGACACCTCCAGGGCAATCCTGAGGTGCATCTCAGCTCAGCCTCTTGCTACCTCTGGACTTGTCTTTGTCTCAGTTTTCCCATCTGTAAAATGGGCATTAATATTCTTTTGCCTTAAGTATGCAGAAATGTGAATATGGCTCCCCCGACAAAGTACCCACCTGTGGGAGGAGGTGTTCCCCTGGAGTGGGCGTGTCTCCTCGCTGGTCCTCCTCACCTTCTTTTTCACAAAAGAGGCAGCCAGGGAGCACAGCAGATGGGCGGCTGTGACCCAGACCCACATAAGGATGACATGGCACAGTCTCCTAGTGTCACATGCTGATGGCCCTGTAGCAATAGTTCTGCAAGAAGCTGTGAATTTGCATTACGTGAGGAACTTGTAGAAAAAGGCAAATTTTACAAAGTATATGGTATACAGATAATAAGATTTTCTAGTGTTTCAAAATTGAAGCATTAAGGGTAAACGCTTAGACAAAGATTTGTTAAAACACTTGTAAAGACATAAAAGTGGAAACAGTAGAAACCACTCAAATGTCCATCAACTGCTGAAGGGGTGAATGCAACATGGCACATCCACGGGGTGAAATATTACTCAACCATAAAAGAATCGGCCGGGCATGGTGGCTTATGCCTGTAATCCCAGCACTATGGGAGGCCAAGGCTGGGAGATCGCCTAAGGTCGGGAGTTCAAGACCAGCCTGACCAATGTGGAGAAACCCCATCTCTACTAAAAATACAAAATTAGCTGGGCGTGGTGGCGCATGCCTCTAATCCCAGTTACTCAGGAGGCTGAGGCAGAAGAATCACTTGAATCTGGGAGGCAGAGGTTGTGGCGAGCTGAGATTGCGCCATTGCATTCCAGCCTGGACAACAAGAGCGAAACTCCATCTCAAAAAAAAAAAAAAAAAAAGAATCAAGGAATGAAGTGTTGCAGCACAGCGTCGGGAGCCCTGAAACCCCTATGGGTGGTGAAGGAAGCCAGGCATGGGGCCGCACCGCCTGCAAGACAAATTCCATCTATACGAAAGGTCCAGAATAGTGCATCTCTGCAGACAGAAAGTAGATTGGTGGGTGCAAGGGCATGGGGATAGGCCATGGGGCATGGTTGTGGTTTCTTATTGCGGGTGACATGTTATGGGATTGGATATTGGTGACTGCCACAAAAAAAAAACCCACTGAATTGTTTATTTGTAAAAGGTAAATTTTAAGGAATGTGAATTCCATATCAAAGTGTTATTTAAAATGTTTGTCTCCTCAAATTAGTAAAAGATTCACACAAAAGACAGAGAAGCTGACTTTGTCTCTGATAGAAAACATCTCAGAATGACGTCCTCTGTTGTGGAAACAGATCACTAGGACTATTCAATTGTTTAAATCTCCAGCAGCATATCTAAACATTTGTCATTGTTTAAAAAAAAAAAAAAAAAAGATGCCCCTGGCCAAGCCCTGCTCTAGGCTATCGAGAGTCCCTCACCCAGCAGTGTCCATCCCCCCGCGGCATCCATCCCCCTGGCAGTGTCATCCACCCAGCAGTGTCATTCCCCCAGAGGTGTCATCCCCCCGCCAATGTCACTCACCCGGCAGTGTCATCCCCCCGCCAGTGTCACCCACCCACCGGTGTCGCCCATCAAGCAGTATCATCCCCCCACCAGTGTCATCCCCTTGCCAGTGACACCCACCCACCAGTGTCATCCCCCACCAGTGTCACCACCCAAAAGTGTCATTCCCCCACCAGTTTCACCCTCCTGTCAGTGTCACCCACCCACCAGTGTCACCCCCAGCCAGTGTCACCCACTCAGCAGTGTCACCCCCAGCCAGTGTCACCCACCCAGCAGTGTCATCCCCCACCAGTGTCACCCATCCAGCAGTGTCATCTCCCCACCAGTTTCCTCCTCCTGCCAGTGTCATCCCCCTGCCAGTGTCACCCCCTCGCCAGTGTCACCCTCGCCAGTGTCACCCCCACCAGTGTCACCCCTGCCAGTGTCATCCCTCCACCAGTGTCACCCACCTGCCAGTGTCACCCCCTCCCAGTGCCACCCACCTGCCAGTGTCACTTGCTTGTCAGTGTCATCCCACCCACCAGTGTCATCCCCCCGCCAGTGTCACCCACCCACCAGTGTCATCTACCTGGTGGTGTCATCCCCCCGACAGTGTCACCCACCCGACAGTGTCATCCACCCAGCAATGTCACCCACCCAGCTAGCACTTGCAGTGCAAACGGGTTTTGGACCCCTGCCTGTGCTTCCCCTGCCCCTGGGGACCTGGGAGTGTCCCATTTTGCATCTTCGTTTGCCCTCCCTGGTTTCTCCTGGGCTCTCTGCTGGCCCTCTTGTCTCCAGGCCTAGGTCCCCAGATAGCTCTCTGTCTTGTTCACCCCACACTGGGGTCCAGTAGTAATACCCACTGTGTCCGTTCCCTGGTGTTCTGTATCCCTTCCACCCCGCCTTGTCTGCCACTCCTGAGCCATGTTGTCTTCCAGAAAATGCTACAAAGACAGCCATCTCTCTGGATCCCCCAACTCATCCCCCGGCTTCTACCATCCCTGCTCCCCAGCTCCACCCAGAAGACGCTGGCAGGGCATAGAGCCTTCGCAGGACACAGGTCTGTCTCACTCAAATCCTCCTCCTCTCCCTGTGGTGAGTTGCAAATAAAAAGGTCACAAATGTCTTTACTCCCCTATGCTCACCCCCTTGCAAGATGACCGTGTGCTCTGCTTCTCCCGTCAGGAGAGTAGGGGCTCCTTCCTTCTACCCCCCAGCCTGGGCCTGGCCAAGGGGACGCTAGCAAATGATGCAAGAAGAGACTGGAAAAGAGCCTGGCTTTACAGCCCTCCTTGACTGCCCAGGGAAGAAGCCTGGGCTGGGCTTCTTGAGGATAGAAGACTGGCACCCAGCCCCGGGCCTCTCAGCGGCCACCCAGACATGTGAGCGAGGCTGCCACAATGATCCAGCCCCAGCTGAGCCCACGGAGACCAGAACTCCCCGGGCAACCCACAGAACAATGAAAAAATTACTGTCGGTTGTGCTGCCTTTGGCCCCTGGGTTTTGGGAAGGCTTGCTATGCCATGAAAGCTAACTGACGTACCCCCTCCTGCTTCTCCAGCCCCAGAGACTCTGTTTCCTCCTGAGAGGGAGAAGCTGTCACTGGCTCCACACCTGCTCCTTCACGTCTCTGAGAAGCTTTGAGACCCTCAGGGCATTTGATAGGGGCACACCAGGCTCTTGCAAATTAAAAGCATTGACTCCTGAAATGGAAAAACTAAGACTCTAACTCTTGTTCACCTGCAGTAACTTTCCTCCATAAGGCCACCGGATGTCTCATGGTCAAGTTTTTTTTGTTTTTTTTTTTGAGACGGAGTCTCGCTCTGTTGCCCAGGCTGGAGTGCAGTGGCGCGATCTCGGCTCACCGCAATCTCCGCTTCCCAGGTTCATGCCATTCTCCTGCCTCAGCCTCCCAAGTAGCTGGGACTACAGGCACCCGCCACCACACCCAGCTAACTTTTTGTATTTTTAGTAGAGACGAGGTTTCACCGTGTTAGCCAGGAAGGTCTCGATCTCCTGACCTCATGATCCGCCCGCCTCAGCCTCCCAAAGTGCTGGGATTACAGGCATGAGCCACCGCGCCCAGCCCATGGTCAGGTTTTAATAGGGGAATAACTACTAGTCAAAGAGGAATTAGGATAGACAAAAAAATAATTTTTAACACACCAAAATACGATCTCATCACATACTTATTGAGTGCCCGCTAGACTCCGGATGCCTGGTAGGAGCCAAGGACACAATGAAGGCGAGGAGACCCAGACCCCACTCTCCTGGGCTCTCTGTCTGGCCTGGGATCCAGCTAGCCCTCAGGTCACCACAAGAATGGTGACTCATCCATCCATTCACTCTTCCGCTCGCATGGCAAGTATTTCCTGAGTCCCTACAGTGCGCCAGGAACTCTAAGAGTCACAGGGCATACCACCGTGAGAGCACCAAGATGTGCAAGCCCCTCGGGAGAGGGGACAGGGCAGGGTCATCCCATCTGGGGCCAGGAAGGGCTTCCTGAGCCAGTGCAGATGACGCTCAAACCCAAAGAATGTGATGCAGTTAACTGGACAAAGACTTGGTAGTGGGGTGCAGGGGAGCAGAGGAGAACGTTCTAGAAGTGCTAAGGCCCAGCAGTGGCTGGGAGGGCCTGAAAGAAGGCCAGAGTGTCTGGGGAACACAGATGTGGGGGAGCCCTGGTGGGAGCCTGGAGGAATGGGCAGGGCCAGCTTGAAGGGTGTCCTTGGACCCTGAGTGAGGATTCCAAAGGCTTTTGGGGAGACCAGGTGGGCATTAACCCCGTCAGGCCACTCCCACCTGCTCCACCTGGTTCCAGGTACCAGAGACACCCCATCAGCAGGCACAGGGGCCCCAGCAGCAGCCACATCTCCACAGCCTGACCTCCCACCCCCACAGCTCACCCCAAGCCCAGGTGTTCTGAAAACAGCCCACACCTCTGCACCCCCAGCGTAGCCCACCCTTTTGGTCCTCTTCTTGTTAAAAGACTTACCCTAAAGAGGCAGCTCAGACTCCACCTCCTCCAGGAAGGCTTTTCTGATGCTGTGCAACCCCAAGCTGGATGCTACTGATGGTTTGTGCTGGCAGAGCTGCCCCTATGTCCCTTGATTCTATTCCTGTATCACTATTGACAGTCCCACAGAGCAGTGACATCCCCGGGTCAGGGGCTCTGCACTCACCTGGGATGCTCGACCCTGCATGGGTCACAGTGGCAGCTCCAGAACCGCTAGGTAGGGTGGGGGCTAAATCCCGGCAGGCCGGGTGTCACTATGCTGTGCTGCATTGGCACTGTGTTCTCCTTACACAGGTGACCTGGGCAGGGGCTCTGAGGAGCCGGTGGCGAGTCTGAGGTCTCAAGTGCCCAGGCCCTGTGTGCAGCTACAGAGTTAGGGGCCGGCAAGTGCAGGATTGGCTGTGGAGAGGCACAGGCTGAATTTGGCCCAGCGTAAGCGTTCTGGGAATGTGTGGTGTTGCTACTGGGACTTGGGCTGCCTTGGGTGTGGCTGCATACCGTGGGCCCAGGGAGGTGGGGAGTGGGGACTGCGGGGAGTCTGGGGAGTCACTGAAGATGCAGGTGCTGAAAGACACAGCCATCTTCAGGCAAGCCCGGGCTGAAGGGTGCAGGAACTCAGACTGTCCTGGGGGTTGGGGTGTTTCCCAGAGGTGCTCGTGCTGGGTAAAGGCCAGGGGCAAAGGGAGGAAGCCCAGCCCAGGGTTCGTCCATGCCACACCTCAGGGTCAGGCTCCCAGGGAGCCATGCTGAGCATGGCAGTGAGCACAGAGGTTGGAGCACCACGTCCTGGGGCCCACACCTTCACCTCTTCATCCATAATAGACACAGTGGGACCCCCTGGCCAGTGGGGAGGAGGAGGCACAGAGGCTGCGGGAAGCTCCCAGCACAGGACCCTGGGCTCCATAGTGTGGGTGCCGTTTCCTGCAGAACAGGGACTCAGACATGGACAACCAAAAGTTATCAGAATTGGGGTGCTTAGTAGGGACTAGATCCTGTACAGCCAGCCAAAGAGTAACTAAGCGCCCACTGTGTTACAAGTGCTTTGTCTACTTAGAGGTGAAGGCACTTACCTCTGTGGCAGATGCAGGGATGTGCCTCAGACCTGCTTCATGGAAGGATACACTGCCCAGCTGCTAGGGGCTGTAACCAGACGTGCTCAGCATCACCCCCAGTTGCAGACAGACAGCACCCCTGTGCCATCCTCCCCAGGCCCATGTCCTATGACTGAGCCACACAGGCCTGGACAACCCCCTGCTCAGGACAGCTCTGGTCTACTCCAGTCCCAGGCCCAAAGGGAGTCCTGGCTGTCCTTGTGCCAGCAGTGAAGCTCGGTGTCTCCTCTGCCTGCTCCTGCTCCTCCCTCCCTGCCCCAGACCCGGTCCAGGCCCTCCTGAGAGCCCCTGTAGCTGGTCCCAGGCACCGACACCAGGCTTCCATGGGGCTGATAACCAGCGGGCGAGGTGACAAAACACCAAGTCAGAGGGAGCTTTCCAGGCTCTGCTGCAGGAGCTGTGCAGGCGAGGCAGAGAGCAGCCTGGGGGTGTCCAGAAGGATGTCCCTCGAGGACAGACACTCACATGGAGCCCTGGAGGCTGCAGAGGACACAGCCCTGCTGTGACAGCCAGGAAACAGTATCCCAAGCCATGGGGACAGCAAAGGCTAGGCCGAGGTCTGATGCAGGAGGAGCTGGAGGGCAGAGGGCGGGCGGAGCACCGCCTCGGGAACGAAACAGCTGGGGAACCTGGAGGGCACCTGGATGGTTACCTCTAGGTCACTGTGGAACTGATCTGCCTGCATCCTCCCTCCTGTTTCTGGGGCTGGCCAAGGCACGCTGGAGCTGGGGCTGGGGCTGGGGCTGGGGCTGGAGCTGGCAGGCCGAGGTTCCCACCCCACAGGCACCGGAGATGAGTTGGTAAGAAAAGGGCACCCTCTGGCTGCACTGATTCTGCTGAGGGCTCGGAGGCTCATCTCCCTGGGGGCAGCCCCGGGCGCAGCTGCTCTAAAATCACCCACTCAGCCATTTCACAGGCAGAAATCCTTCGCTTCAGGCATTTGCATCCAAAGCTGTCCGCAGCCTACTCCCCACCGTGGCTGGGTTTAATCTGCTAGCACTGGGGCTGTGGGGCTGGGACAATTAATTAAAGATCCCAGGGAGCAGCCAGCTCTCATTAAGTCCTGCATCAGATGGGAGGGGTGCTGGGGAAGAACACTCTTGCCGAGACTGCACTTTTGCCCCAGCCAAGTATTTTCTCATCTATTATCTCCATCGATCCTGGCCGCGGCTCTAAGAAGAGGGGATTATTATCACCATTTTGCAAGTGCAGAAATGGAGACTCGGGTTAAGTTGTGTGTTAGAGTCTCCCAGCTCCAAAGCAGTGGGGCTGAGATCCACACCGGGCACACTCGGGCTCTCTCAGGATCTCCCTGGAGGTAGGAAGAGCAACACTGCAGTGATGCTCAGGAGACCATGCAGGCTCCACTCCCCAGGGCTGCAGAGAATGGGTCCCAGAGGGAGCTAGGGAGGACAAATCGGGTTCCTGGAAGGCACCTTTGACCCTCAGATGCTATGGGGGTGTAAACTTTCTTCACTGAGGAAGAATTTGTGATTTCCCCCAACATGGGGAAGGGGCAGAGAATTCCCTGGGCATGGCTGGGGCTGACTCTGTGCTGGCCACTCCTGGGGACCCAGAGATGTGTCTTCCTCCCTCCTCACCTGTGCAGAGGAGTTGTCCAAAGACAACCATGACAAGATCTCCTGTCCCACCTTCTCTTCTTACAAATGACTGGGATTGATGGGTTTTGTAGCTGTTTAAACCAACAGATATGGCAGAAGTGATGCTCTTTGACTTCCAAGCCTGGATCATAAAACCTGGATCATGGTGTCTGCTCCCTGGAGAACAAGCCCTAGAAGCCCTGAGCCACCACATTGGCAGTCCAGCTGCCTAAGGCCACCATGCTGAGAGGAAGTCCAAATAGCCCAGGCTCAGAGACACACAGAGGAGCCCTAAGACCATGCAGAGACACAGCCAGCCCAGCTGCACCCACCTCTGCACTTGGCAGCAACCACACGGGAGATGCTGAGCCAGCCCAGTCCAGCACCACCCACCAGAGACAACAATGTGACTGCTGTTGTCTTAAGGCACTGTTTTGTTGGTGCTTTGTCATCCCGCAAGAGTCACTGGGAACAGCATCTCTGAGGGAGAGGGACAGGCAGACCAGGGAAGTGTGGTTGCAGAGTGATATAGAAGCAGATGCCCTGCAAGACAGAAGTAGGTGGCCCCAGGGGATGGGAGTGGGGTCTAAAGGAGGCAGAGGGTTCCTACCAGGGCCCCCAGGGGAAGGCCCAGAGTCAGGAAGGGCCTAAATGGCCTAAACGCTAGTGGCCGGCACCCCGGGGTGAATTCAGAACAGAGGTGCAGATTCAGTCACCAGAGTCCATGCAGCAGAGACATCCACAGGGGCTCCAGCCTGGAGTGAAGTCAGGCCAAGCTTTAGAAAGTGAATGCTGACCACTGTGGGAGGGACAGAGAGGAAAAGCTGAAGGTGATAGGGAAGATTTTTTCCAAAACACCCCCTGGAAGCAGAGTCTTCAGGGAGCTGCAGGAGCTCTTGGCATCTCCAGCCCTGTGCTGGTGTGAATGTCTTCAGGACATGATAGAAACAAGCTGGAGAATGCAAGGACCACAACAGGTGGTGTGGCCTTAAGGTGGAGCCTCCATATGTCCACACCACCCCCAGTGATAACCGGGGGGTGCCTTCCATGTGACAACCACAATCTCTCTATCCTGCCTCACCCCTCACTGTTCTGGAAAGGCCCCAAATCTCAAAGCCCAGGAGAGGGGACACTAGGTGGGGGCCTGAAAGCAAGGCATGTCCCAGGGCCAAGCCCATAATGCCCATCTGGAGACCCCACCCCACCAGTGCTCTGCTGCCCACAACAACCTGGGAAGCAGGTGCCATCCCCGGGTGCATTAAGGAAGAGCAGAGCACTGAGGATGGATCCAGTGACTGGGACAGAGGTTGGGCAGTTGCAGTGGAGACAATCGCAGCTGACCATGTGGCAACAGCATCTGTCCATCATCCTCCATTCGGGGGGCCAGATGGGACCCACCACGGTGCAATCAGAGGCAGGCACCTGATCCAGGCCCAGCCAATCAGTGTTTGACTTAGGGATATTGACCTAAGCTGGGCCAATAAAAATCCACTCTGGGAGTTTGGTGAAAATTCTTGGGAAGCAGACATGTTCTTTCTGCTGGGATGACCAATCTTGTGAAATGAAAACAAAGAGTTGATAATGACCATTTTTGCCACCTCTTTGGGAGTTTTTTTCCTGAGCACTGTGGAGGAAAGCAGAGCAGAGACAAGGAGAAAAGAGAGAGGGCCAATGACATCACTGAAGCACCTGCATCCAGCCACACCTAAAGTCCACCTCAGACTTTTTTGTTCTATGAGCCAGTAAATTCCTTTTCTTGTGTAAGCCTTCTGTGCGCATTTGTATGGCTTGCAAACAAAGGGAGAAAAGAGCAATTACACCTGTAATGAGATGGAAAATCTTTTCATCTCCAGAATTCCTCTTGGGGACAGCACTGTCTCTGTTTGCAGGAAATATTTTTAAGAGCACTGGTGCTGAAGGTAAGAGTCCAAGGGACCTGGTTGTGAGAAAAGTACAAGAAAAAGGGAGAGATGTTCTCCCAGCTTTACCAAGGGAGAGGCAGAGGGGAGCAGGTCTTGGTCTGAATTCCCCCGGGCCTGACACTACCCCACCCTGGGAGCAAATGATCCTGTCTGTCACAGGAGATAGATGTCACTAAGGCAGAGAGGACAGTTGATGCCCCTCGATGGCGGGACGGCAGCACTTGGGTGGATGAAGCAGGTGGAGAAAGACATCCTCTGCTGTGCTCCCCACGACGCAGAAGCTGGAGGTGGGCTCAGCCTTTCCGAGGCTCCCTCACAGTACCAGTTCTGGGTAGGATTTCTGCTTCAGCCACTCACATGCACAGGCTGAGATCCAGAACACAGAAGAGAGCAAGAGGCCCTGCCGGTGCTTTTGCTGCAGCCGAAACCCAGTGTCTCCATGACGAGCCTTTCAGTGAAAGCAGAGCTTGTTGGGGCCTCCCTCCTGCTGTCCACATCACATCTTGCCTGAGTGCACATGGTCACAGCTCCGAGGGTTAAGAGTAGCAATGGGACTTTCGAGGCCTGCTGGTGTGGTTCCAGCAGGAACATCCGGGCTTTCAGATTCCCTGGCTTCCCTGTGATGGCAGGAGGGCAGGCCCACCGTGGGGCAGTCCTGGAGATCGTGCTGAGAGCCACTCCCCCTACCCACCTGGGCTAAATCCTTCATGCTTAAACAGTGAAAGTGGCTGGCAGACAGGGAGGCCAGTTCTAGGTCTGAGATACAAGGGAGTGCTTGGCCTCAGACTGCATCATCTGAAAGGCTTGGTCAGTTATTAGCCCTTGGGTAACCCATCCCCTGAGCACCTGGCTCCCCTAGACAGACTTGGCTAGTCCATCCCCTGCTGGCCTGACCACTCTCCACATGGGTCAGGACCACAACCGCTGGCATCCTAAAAGGAAGGGCCCAGTGGCTGTCTCCCTGGGTGGTGCAAGACAGCAGGAGCCTCCGCCAAGCACTCCTCTGGGAGCCTCTGACTTGGAGACTGTTTCCTCTCTGCCTGCAAAAGGCAGGACCCAGCTGCCCTGAGAACATCTAGCTGTCCGATGATCCTGCTAGCCATTCTCTGCTGTCAGCTTCCCCAAAACCTGCCTGGGGTGATGACAAACAATCACTTTTGGGCTCAAAGGGTGGGAGGTACGGAGAGCTTACTGGAGCTGCATCCGCATACCAGGCGTTGGTGTCACCACAGAAGCTGCTCTTGTGGAGGATGAAGGGCCCACTCTGTTTGCCCTGCTGGGAACGCAGAGAGGTAGAAGATAGACAGGGCCACAGGCTCCCTGCGGGACCCAAACCTACAATAAAGTCTACAAACCCCCCGCAATGGAAGCAGATGGTTCCAACACAAATCAGTGCTTACTATGTGCTCATGCTTCACATATGTTGAATTCCTTTAATTCTTACAACAGCCCAAGGAGGTAGGCACGATTTTTATCACCATTTACGGAGGAAGAAACGGAGGCACAGGGAGATGAAATAACTTGCCCAGGTCACACAGGCAGACGTTAGGGCAGGGGGCAGGAGAAGGATTTGAACACAGTGCGTGGGTGTCCTGGAACAATAGACCCAGCCTCCAAGGAGGGTGGGGCAGACAGGAAAAAGGAGTGAGGGTTGAACTGTCACAGGAGAGGGACAGAGTTTACACCAGGTTTAGGCAAATCGGGAGGAATGCAGAGGGGGCGGGGACTGGGGAGAAGCAGGCAGCTGATTATGCAGCTTGGAGGAAGCCCCCTGTAGTGCGGTGGGGGTGCAGGGCGATTTCTCCCTTTCCTAGAGCCAGATAAACACGTGAGATATATGCTAACTCTCCCCTCGACACCCCAACACGCATATACATACTGCCAAAATAAATACAGATGGTCTCTGACTTAGGATAGTTCAACTTACAATTTTTCAACTTTATGATGGTGTGAAACCATCATAATTTTGACATACTTTGAATTTGAATTTTGATCTTTTCCCGGGCTAGCCGTATGCAGTATATGAGCTATTCAACACTATTAAAAAAATAGGCTGTGTGTTAGATGATTTTATCCAATCGTAGGCTGATGTAAGTGTTCCGAGCATGTTTAAGGCAGGCTAAGCTAAGCTCTGATGTTCAGTAGGTTAGGTGGATTAAATGCATTTTCAGCTTAACAATATTTTCGATTTACTGTGGGTTTATCAGGACGTAGCCCCATTGCAACTCAAGGAACATCTGTGCTACAAAACTGGAACCGTACCTGTAGTCCCAGCTACTCAGGAAGCTGAGGCAGGAGGACTGGAGCCCAAGAGCTCCAGTGGCAAGCAATGATTGCACCACTGCACTCCAGCCTGGGTGACAGAGCAAGTCTCCATCTCTAAAAAACAAACAAAAAAACTGGAACAACTACTGTCCTACTTTGCTAGTGAGAGTATAAATTGGCGTAGATTTTTTCAAAGTAATTTGGCGATATGTAGCAATACCCTTAAAATAGTTATTTTAACTCCTACAATTTCACTGCGAGGAATCTGTCTCAGAGAACTAATCTGACACATGAGCACTCTCTGCACAAAGATGCCCAAGACAGAATCACTCATAATAAACAAAGCTAGAAACAACCCACATGTTCCGGGATAAGGAAGAGTGGAAAAAATTATGGCACATCCATATGATGGAACATTGTGCAGTCGCTAAAATGATGATTAGAAAGAGTTTCCAATCACATGAATAAATGCAGATGGTTAAAATGTAGAGGGGAAAAGACAGGTTACAGAGTGGAGGTCACAGGTTGCATGTTCTCAACCACAAATGGGAAAATGTGCTTGAAAGAAAGACTAGAAGGAAATAAACAAAATTGTTCACAGAAACTGACTTGCTGCTCAGGGGGATCCATTTATTTACTTCTGCTTTTTTGTATTTCCTGGTGATTTCCAAGTTTTGTGCAAGTGTTACCAGAAAGGGGTCCAAATCCAGACACCAAGAGAAGGTTCTTGGATCCCACACAAGAAAGAATTCAGAACAGAGTTCACAGAGTAAAGTGAAAGCAAGTTTACTAGGAAAGTGAAAGAGTAAAAGAATGGCTACTCCATAGACAGAGCAGTCCTGAGGCTGCTGGTTGCCTATTTTTTATGGTTATTTCTTGATTATATGCTAAACAAGGAGCGGATTACTTATGCTGCCCCTTTTTAGACCATATAGGGTGACTTCTTGATATTGTCATGGTATCTGTAAACTGTCATGGCACTGGTAGCAGTGTAGCAGTGAGGATGACCAGAGATCACTCTTGTCACCATCTTGGTTTTGGTGGATTTGGGCTGGTTTCTTTATTGCAGTCTGTTTTATTAGCAAGGTCTTTATGACCTGTATCTTGTGCTGACTTCCTATCTCATCCTGTGACTTAGAATGACTAACCATCTGGGGACACAACCCAGTAGATCTCAGCCTCATTTCACCCAGCCCCTATTCAAGATGGAGTTGCTCTGGTTCAAAGTCTTCTGACATTTTCCCTATCCCTGTTATAAGAAAATCCTTAATTCTAAGGGTTGCAGAAGGATGAAGACCCATCTTCCATAACTTCTTCAGGCTGAATAGGGGCAATGATATTCCTGCCCAACTATTGGGTCTTAATGGTAGAGAGTAGCTCAGTCAGAAAGCATTGGTATGCTGAGGGCCATTCGTAACTCTTGAGTTCCAACAAAAGGTGATATCTTGAAGATTAGTAAGTGTTTAATTTAAGAAAACCGTGTGTAAGCTTGTCTTGCATTCCTATACAAGGAGTACAACAGCAATATATTCCAAAACAGTAAAGCAAAATAAGTAAAAATTATTCCAAGTACACTAAATAAGAAGGCTTTCCATAAACTGGGCAACTGTTGGAACTAAGCTGATATGGGGTTTCTAGCTGATTCCAATGTGTCCAGAATTAGAATACTGATCCAACTTTTTACATTACTCATCCTTTTTGGTTTTTGTTTTTTTGTTTTTTGTTTTTTTTTTTTTTTGAGCAGCAGCCAAAGATCACTGGTTAGTTCACAGGAATAAGTAGGGTCAGCCTAAGTTGCAGGAAAAAACTCAAAAATAACCCATGAGACTAGAATCTAATAACAAGTGTACCATAGTTCTTGAAAGGTAATTTCTCTCTCCAGTTTCCTATTTTTACTAAAGACAAATCACAGTTAAAACTGATTTGCTTTAGTATACTTGGCCTAATTATTTGTATAAAATACAGCAAGAATAATTATTTTTCACATAGACTTTTTAATTGGCTTTGATGGAACTCTGTTCCATAAGGAATCTCAGATAAGACTTTTTTAAAGCTCAGCCCAGCCATGAGTTTGTACCATGAAATACCTAAGAGTTGAGTAAATTCCTCTCCTCCTGAGGCTCCAAGATAACTTGGGGCTCCTCTTGAGGTTCCAAGATTACCTGGGGCTCCTGGGCCTGTTAGAAAGTGACATTCTTCACTTACCACAAGTCAAGAACCCTGTACAGGGACTGTGTACACAAGGTACAAGACCATTTTTCCCAAGGGCCTTTTATTGGCTCTCTAAGTCAAGTTTAATTCCTTAAAGGAAAACACACCATTCCAGTCAAAGCCTTGGTAAAATAGCCAGTTTCTCTATATTGCCACAAGTTAAGCTATTCACAGATAATTTCTGAATTTTGGAGAAATCAGGTAGAGAGAAACAAATATGCTCAAATTTTTTTCACAAGAATATACTTTACTCAATTGTTTAAAGCTGTAAATAGCTCAAAAGAAAAGTTTTCTTGGCTCTGAAAAACAAACGAAGGATTAGCAACGTTTTAAGCAAAAAGTCAAAAAGATTACTTTAATCTTCTAGTTAAAGTTCAGTCCATGCAGTTAACTCCTGTTTTGTTGGATATTCATGAACATTTCAGCTCTCCATGAACGTCCTGAAAGTTTTTTCCTCTATTCTAATATCACGGTTTCCAAAGTTATCAGAAACCTGCATTTAAGAACACCTATTAGAGTTTATAGCTGATTATAAACCACCTTCTAAAGAGGATTAAAACAAAGCAACAGTTGTCCATGGATGACAAAACATTTTAGGACAGCCACAGTAAAAAACACGATTGACAAAGAAATTTGGTTACTTCTGTGGCATACAATGATTTTATGTAACAATTATAATTATTAATAACCTACACTAAGCCGTAAGAGAATTATAGGAGTTTCCCATTATTTTGAAACACATACCAATAACATATTTATACAAATATAGCTCAAAGAAAGCCAAATACTATTTCATATTTGACAGTGCTTTCTGTATGATTTTTATACCAAATAAGCCAAATTTCACCTTTATATTAGTGTGCTATTAATGTTAAACCCAATTCTTAATAAAATTTTATAAGTAAATCTATCCAATTTTATGTTTGACCATAAGATTCTCATAAACCTTTTCTAACCCTTTGCAATTTTTTGTTAAAGAGCAGATTAGTGCTCTAAGAAAAACCTGTTGTGCTGTTATTCAATGTTCAGTTTACGGGAAAACTGAATAATACCCATTTAATTTTAGCCAATGTCCACACACAGAATTTCTTTTACAATTAATTTTTCACAAACCTTTCACAACTTGCTTAAACCTTCGGCTTTATCTTACCTGACTTAAAACAATCCTTTAACCCTTTAATTTAGGCAAGAAAAATCCACATTCCCATGATTTCTTATAATCTTTTACCAAACACACATTTCCCTTTTCTTACACACGGTGCATGTAAAACCATTTCTTCAGTAGCCTCAAATACATGTTACACTGTTAACTCTTAGTAACTTTTGCTTTTGGTGAAAACCTTGGTAAGTATGCAATTTTAATTATGTACTAGGTGTGGAGCCTAGGACACTAGATAAGGTCGGTCTTTTTTCAGCACAGCTAGGGGGCAGGGCTAACACCCCACATCCCCAGGCCTTATCTAAATCTAATGCTTCAAAATAAATTGAACAATTTTTAAAAGTCAAAGAAGCAGTTTATGACCTTAAAGCATTTAGCAAACTTAAGATCTGACCTGCCTAATTTAGACCAAATGTCTTTATTTTACCAATAATCTTTAAAGCTGTTTTTATTTCCCAAAGATTATTAAAGTCATGTGAACTAAAAGGCATTACAATTTTTTCTTTTAAAATATTTGATTTAAGCTCTTATTATTTTAAAACCAATTAAGTAAAGCTCTTTTAGATATAAACATCACACACACAATATATATAAATACCCAGATAGACAGAAGATTATGTAGTTGTAAGGTTTTTTTACTCACCAGTTTCTAAGTTTCTCTTTAAGGTGTGCAGTTTTTAGGGCCTCATAAGCATGCACAGCTGGAAGGCAAAACAGATCCCCAAAATTTAAGGGTCCCATTTTTATACCAGATCCTGGATCCCAAAAAGAGGGACTTAGCCCATCAACCCTTGGGAGTTTTATTTCTCAGTAGCGGGTGGGGACATCTCCACGTTTCCCAGGTGGCCAAGATCATGCTTCTCTGATCCAAATGTGTGAAAACCAAGTTTCCCCCATAACTGCTATTACACATCCCTAAAAGTATATTTCCTGCCTACTTACTACACACCAAAGTTCTCTCATAATGCGAAGGAACTTCTGATACCACCAAAAGTAAAAAAACATCAGATAACGCAATACAAAACAAAACAGAACCTTAGGTTTTGAAAGGGATCTATTCACTTTCAATTCCTAAGGTTTCATGAGGAAAACAGGTTTTTCCCAAAACGGGGTCTTTAGTGCCTCTTCTGTTTTTCCTAAGGAATCCCTAGGGCTGTTAGAACTTGAATATCTGCTTTTAATTAAGCTGACTTTTGACTATCGCATTCTTTTGAAAAGTCCTTTTAAATTTCTTATTACCCGACGTTAGCCAGGCCAAATGACCGATATTTCTGGCTTTTAAACTTTACCAAAAGTAACCTCACAGGGGCTCTGAGAAAGGAAAATTTAAGACGGTTTGTGGAGGGAAAGAGAATTTTAAAATTGCAAAGGACACCCAAATATCAATCAGAAAGGCTCATCCCTTAAGCTAGCGATTGAACCCTGAATCCAGGCCTCCATTGTGAAAAGAGAAAGCATGGCCAAAAGGTTACAAGGTCAAGCTCCCAAAGACATGCAAGACAAGAGGGAAACCTCATCCAGTTTTTTTTTTTTTTTTTTTTAGGGACCAGCAACAAAGTTTGTAACTGACCAGTTTGCTAGGCTGTCTTGAACAGTGGACTTATAGGTGTCCTAGGCCCACATTCTATCCTAAGGTATCCCTCTCCATGACAGAACCATACAGAAAGACACACAAAGCACACCAGATTCACTACAGCTTAAGACTAGCCTCACAAATCCTTTTTTCCATTAATCAAAACTTTACAGAGGAGATAAACGGTGATTTTTACCATTCATTCCACCAGTTTGCACAGAGAGAGAGAGAGAAGCTTTACCTGACGCAGGGTGGGGAAGGCGAGGCACTCAGGGAGGCCAGGGAAAGAGCCACCCATTGCAGCAACACTGAAAAGTTCAGGCAGCTGCTTCTCAGTCCTGAAGGGATCTTTTCCAGCAGTCCCATCAGTTCTCAAGTTTCCCCTTTTAGGGAGGAAAAAGTTCCCCATGTCCCACGATCCTGTACATGCCTAACCCTGTCACCCATTACCATCAGCAAAGAGTCCAAGACAGATTCATCCAAGAGAATAGCAGTTGCCATCCCATAGTGCCAAACCTGTTCTTAGCCAAGAGGGACTTTACTGAAAAGGGCCTCTAACCCCCTAAGTCTTAGGAAGGACTCTAACCCTCCTAAGTTGGTCCTCAAACCCAAGGTTGGTCAAGCGTCCTTGCCTTTTATCGGGAAGAGCCTTTAACCCTGTGTCTTAGGCTAGACTCCAACTCCCCTAAGTTGGGCCTCTAACCCAATCCCACCCTTTACCTGGGTACACCATCACTTACCCAAAGTCAGCCAATCAGTGCTGCAGTCTATTTCCTTCAGATGGTTGCGGGGGTGGGAGGGGGGCGATGTGGGGGTTGTTCTTCAGTATCGTCCCTTCTGTGGTTCACCAGAAAGATATTACCAGACCCCACCACTCACCCAAAGTTAGCCTTTGGGTCGGGGTTTCGGCACTATAGTCTCTTCAGTGGTCGCAAGAAAGATATTACCGGAAAGGGGCCCCGATCCAGACCCCAAGAGGGGGTTCTTGGATTTCGAGCAAGAAAGAATTCAGGGTGAGTAAAGTGAAAGCAAGTTTACTAGGAAAGTAAAGGAATAAAAGAATAGCTACTCCATAGACAGAGCAACCCTGAGGGAGGCTGGTTGCCCACTTTTATAATTATTTCTTGATAATATGCTAAACAAGGGGTGAATTATTTATGCCGCCCCTTTTTAGGCCATATAAGGTAACTTCCTGATATTGCCATGGCATTTGTAAACTGTCATGGCACTGGTGGGAGTGTAGCAGTGAGGACGGATGACCAGAGGTCACTCTTGTCACCATCGTGGTTTTGATGGATTTTAGCCGACTCCTTTAATGCAAGCTGTTTTATCAACAAGGTCTTTATGACCTGTATCTTGTGCCGACCTCCTATCTCATCCTGTGACTTAGAATGACTAACCATCTGGGAATGCAGCCCAGTAGGTCTCAGCCTCATTTTACCCAGCACCATTCGAGATGGAGTTGCCCTGGTTCGAATGTCTCTGACACAAGGATCAGTCATTTCCTAACCAATCAGGAACGATTTTTTAAAAGCTTTTCCTATCTTAACGTGTGCAAGCTTCTCTTTACCTAGCTCCCAAGAGAACCTGGAGGAGAGAGACAAGCAGGCTTGCTTCCAAGAATAGTTCTGGGTAGTGGTCCCAGGAGGCCACATCCACTCAACTCCACTGAGTGACCAGACAAATGCGCTGGTACAAACAAGAATGGATATAAACTCCTTGTTTGGACCCCAAAATGCAATTGTGTAAATATAGGATGGGGAATACCCAGCCTGAAAAAAAAGTTGTAAAAACAGTTCAGCAGCTTTAGCCAACCACAAGCTGACCTTAAAATCCATACTGGGACAGAGTATCTTAGGTTGCATCACAAGAAGTATAGTGACCAAAATGAAGGAGGTGACAATTACAGGCAGACCACATCTGGAATTCAGATTAGTTTTGGGTCCCTCAAGACTCTCTGTTAACCCATCACTTCCCCAACCTGGGGACCAAAGCCAGGTTCGCAGAGGGTCTCTGAGGTTCCTTTCTTGCCCCTCTCCATCTGGTACCAGGGAAAAGGAAGAAGGTAACAAGAGGCAAAGAGAAGAGCTGGCCAGAAGCCAGGAAACTTGTTCCCCACCACATCAAGTGTGTAATTGGGCTAATTCTGTAGTATTTGTGCTTCCAGGCCTTTGTTTCCCTTTGTCTGTATAACTCCTGATTGGAACATTTGCTTTTCCTTTTGTGTGGTCCTAAACCGAATCCTCTCTGCTAATGTTCATGAATGTGTTCTGATGGATGTTTTCCAGAGCCCTTTGTTGCCTCAATTAAGGGATAATGAACAAGAATTGTTTCTATTTGTAAAACAGCCCAGCCATTTCTGCTTCCCAATTGGTGGGACAATGTGTCTTAATTAAGCACAAAGACTTGTCACTTCATCTACTGTCAAGATCTCCAAACAGGCAGTGATAGGGTGCAGGGGAAAGAAACAGAAGCCTGGGGGGTCTGGGGGGCCCCTCTGATGCCTGGTTGGGCCCAGAGGGGCCAGGGAAGCCCAGTGGGCAGCTCCCAGGTGTCAGGAGCTATGCCAGATCATCTGTAGCCTCGGAATGCCTGGGCAAGACACCTGGCCTTTTTCTACGCTGCTGTGCCAGGCCTTTGTCACCAAGAGCATGGTCTCTGGAAGCAGACTGCCTGGGTTTGGTCCCTGCTCCATACTCACTAGCTGTGTGACCCTCACCCAGAACGTGAGTGAGAATAAGTAAAATGATGACGGCCCCCACCCCACTGAGTGTGGGCAGCTTGAATCTGACAGCACAGGGGAAGCGCTAAGAACAACACTAGGCTCAAGGAAAGCCCCTCAGTAAGTGCTGGTGACGATATTCTTTCTAAAAACAGTGCTCCGGATTTCCTCTGGGCTCTCCTCCTCCCCCAGTGGATATGTGGTTCGGGAGAACAGAATCACAGCTGTGTGCCACCACGGCTCCATGTCCCCGGTAGCACAGAGCGCGGCAGGACATTCCTGGAATGAGCTGCAGGAATGGTCCCACAGGCAACCTGCAGACAGTTGTGACATCTTGGCAGGAACACCAGCCACTCAGGGGCCTGGGGCCAGGCATTCATCCACTCACCTTGGGTGAGTAGGAAGGTGGATGGAATGCCTGGGAGAGTCTGGAATGGAGCCACACTCAAGGAGCTCCAGGCAGTGGCTCTTTACCCTGCTGTGTGCAAAGACTTCAGTAGCTTAATAAAGGGCACGGCCGTCCAGGTGCCCAATCACATGCCCTGCTGGGACTCATGACTACCAGAAACCCCTCAGAAGTCAGTTTTGCAGAGCCAAGCTGGAGCCTGCTCATACCCCACACACACCCCTCAGGCCCATCAGTGGCAATTGAGAGCTAGAAAGACATGACCAGTGTTTCTCAGATAGGAGTAGCACCAGGTGGTCACAGGAAGATGGAGAAACCCAAACAACAGCTAAAACGAGAACAGGGTAAAGAAACCACAAAATAACCAAAAACCCAAAATAAGGGAGAGAAAACGGCCCAAATCCTGGTCACGGTGACACGTCCATAACATGTCTGTGTCTTATTTGGATTTCCAGACAAACCCAAATAAGAGAGAAAGGGGCAGTAACTGGGGGTCCCTGAGATCCCCTCCTTTTCCAGAATACCTGGTGATTATTCCACCCACTGATTAGACACCCATAAAATTAGAAACCCAAACCCTCGGTTCATTCTAACTCCTCTGTGAATTCTTTCTTGGACGGTATCAAGAACCTGGGAACTTGCTGGGCTGGGATCTCACTGGCCTCTGGAGACCCTCCTGAGCCCTCTGGCAACGTTTCCCTCGGCCCCGGATCCCCGACCCGCTCAGGCTCCACGAAGACAGCAATGTGTGTCCCCAACCAATTCCCAGTACTTCAAAATACCCCACTCATTTGTGGAGGAAAAGACCACAATAGGTCTTTTGCTTTCGGTGGGAATTCCCTCAACCGAGGGCCACACCAGGGCTGAGAGGGGCTCACATTGCTCAGATGTTTATATTGATGATTGACTCTGGGGTTCTATGATTGATACCAAACCTGTCAATACAACCTTTACAAAAAGGGTGCAGACTGCATACCAAGCCCTGCCTGAGCTTCTTGAGTCTATTATCCAATTGAACTCTCACAACCACCCCCCAAGACAGTTATCATCCCTATTCTTGCCATTTTACAGATACAATCGCTGCAGCTCAGAGAGGTACAGGGAGCTTCCCAGAGTCACCAGGAAATTGTGGAGGCAGGACCTGCGCTCAGGTCGCTCCTACCTCACCAGCAGGGGGCTGAACCCCACGTGATCCACTGTTGCTGAAACTTTCTGGTCTTCCATGGCATGACTCAGGTCTCCTCCTCTCGGCTCTAGCTGGTGCAGGAACCTCCCAGCTTACCTCCTGACTTCACAGTGTACCCTCCTCCCCAGCCTGCCTCGGCCCACCGGCCAGATGAGTTTGGGGTGAAAGATGTTTATTAGGGATCAACCCTTGTGAGAAGAAGGGTTGGTGGGGGAATGTTGGGCAGAGGGAGAAGTCAGTCTGCAATGCAAAATCGAGAACGCTCAGCCAACCCAGAGGGGAGCTCCAGACAGAACAAGCCCTTCAGTGCCCCAAGCAGATGGAAATGGTGGGGCCTTTATCCCCTAGAGCCCTCAGGAGGGCATGGCCTCAGGCAAAGCCGGCCCTGAAGAAGCTGACAGTCAGAGGTGGTCTCCACTGCACACCTACAACAAGGCATGTGAAGAGTGGGGAGGGACACCTCTGTGTCGACTACACCACGTCCCATCCCTGGCTGCAGGCTTCAGTGTCTCCCCACGGAGGCAGAATGCAGCTGGGCCTCCATGCTGCTCAGTTGGTGGCATTTGGCTTCTGGCTCTTTGTTAGGCCGCCCTGCCCCTGCCCTCTCCTCTCAGAGCCCTCCACCCCTCTGACCACACCCCAGAGGCTTCCTTAGCTCCTCCATGGTCTCCTCTCCCCTAGGCTGACTTCTCCCCGGAGACCACCTCCCTGGGAGCCTTGCCTGATCACTGTCTTGTGAGTATTATGCAGAACCCTCTGGGCCTCCAGCCACCCCTGCACAGCAACCACCTCCTACCCCAAGCCAGAGTAGACTAAGTCTGCCCCATGGCTCTGGGCAGACCCTGCCACAGAGCAGAAGGGACCCACCGCAAGGTGGGGAAAGATGACTGGGGTAATCAGAGAGCCAAACTCAGAGCCCCAGAGGGCTGGAGGCTTAGGGACATGAGTAACAGGGTTGGCAGTGAGCACCAGGCGCTTGTGGGACCGTGGCCCCACCTAAGGGGGATGACCTCCGCCCAGCCCCAGCCAACTCATCCAGATGGGAGTGGGCACAGTGTGGACCGATTCCTCCATTTCCCCAGAGAGCTTAGATGTCTAGGTTTTTGTTTCAATTACCTTGATTTTTGGTTAAAGTTGGCCTCTACTTTCAAATTAACAGAAACACTGGATTGTGTGACTCAAACCAAGACCCTGCAGGCCCTGGAGTGGACAAATGAATGCACCACCCCCGCTGGGGCTCAGTCACGGAGCACATGCTAACTAACTGCCTGTGTGGGCCCAGAGCCCCAGCCTCACAAAGTCCCCAGGCGGGGAGACAGCCAGGAGGCAGTGGTCTTCATGAAGAGTGAATGATTATTAGTACAATGTTTTGGGATAAATGGAGCAGTCGGGGGTGGCAGTTTGAAGGGAGCGGGTCTGATGGAGAGGGTGATATTGGAATGGGGACTGAAAGGCTGGGCGCCAGCAAGCCCCACAGCTTTGCAGACCGGCTTTTGGAAGGTGGGGGTATGGGTCACAGAATCCTAAGAAATGTGGCCTTTATTCACTGCAAGGTGACAGCCAGTGGGGTTTTAAGTGGAGGAGATGCTTGCTTTGCTTACTTTTCAATGGGGCCGCTCTGACTGCTTTTGTGAGCATGGCTGGGTGGAGAAGGTAGGGCAGGGTGGCTGTCACAGTCATCCAAGGAGGACGGGAGGGTGGCCCTGACAGCGGGTGGCGGTGGGGCAGTGAGAAATGGTTGGATTGAGGACGTGTTTTGAAGGTAGAGCCAGCGGAATGTGCTGACAGACAGCGCCTGGATGAGAGAGGAGGCCAAGGTGCCCATGAGGACAGTGTGGAGGGGGAGAGCAGGCTCTGCGGAGAAGGCCACAGCACTGTTCAGATGCAGGGCAAGGTTGGAGCCTCTGAGGCCTCCATGGAGCTGCCCAGCAGGCAGCTGGTGCAGGACTGGGACTCTGATGGGGAGAGACCCAGACCAGACTCTCCTCTGGCTGAATGAACAAGTTCCAGCAGCAAGGGACTTGTGTTTAAACGCAGGAGGCTGACCATCCCCAGGGAGGTCATTCAGAAAATGGGGCCAGAAGCTGCTGCAGACCCAGGCCTGGCCACCACCCCGTCCACTCAGGGCAGGGCATGTGGCCCGGGAAGGGGATGGGGTGGAAATAGGCCGTGACTGTCCTGAGGACACAGGGGAAGAGAGGATGGGGCGAGCCCAGGGGTCTCAGCCTCGCCTGGGCGGATTAAGCATCTGAAAACCCCACCCCCACCCCAGGAGCTCCAGTCCTCATGAGTGACAGGTGCAGACGGTGCCCGGGTTGCCATGACAACGGAGAGATGCACTGCTGGCAGTCCACACTTCCTCTCTGACCACCCTCCGCCCCCTATGGGCATCAGGGTGCAGAGAGGCAAAGGCTCAGGCCACCGGGTCAAGCCGTGCAGGCAGCTGGTTAATGAGCCAACCCTGGGCGTCCCTGGGAAACAGTGACCAGGACTGTTAGGATGGCCACTGAGACTTCACCAAGGTGGCTGCACTATAAGTACCAGCAGCGGTAGTGAGTGCTTTGGTGCAACAGCCTGTCTTTGGGGTTCTGGAGCCAGGCTCACTGAGTGACTCCAGAACCAACTAGCTGAGTGACCCTTGGGAAAGTCACTTAACCTCTCGGGGCCAGCTTACCTGGAAGCGGTGGGGACAGGCTCAGTGGGATGCTCCACTCCCTTCAGTACCTCTTAAAGCCTAGTGTGAGAGCCGTGCCTCCAGGGTCCTACCCCTGTCACCTCCACCACTGCCAGTTCCACCATCCTCCTCCTCCCGGCCTCCCCTCCCTGCCCTGGCAAACTCCACTGTCCACCACTGCCTGTTCAGACAACCTGTCCCAGGTATCACTGTCCCTTCACTTCGGGGGACAACTCTCTCTCTCTCTCTCTGCCGACTTTTACAGATCCTTTCTATGTCTTTAAGAGGTTGCCTTGTGACATTTCCACCAGGGAGCAGAGGAAGGGAGGGTGGCTTCCAGGAAGAAGGCAGCCCACCCTCTGGTGCTCCCTGCTCATTTATCTTACTCTCCCCTTCCTTTGTCTCCCTACCTCCCTCCCCAGCTCATCCCCTTCCCTTCACCCCACATCCACCACTGACAGATGGGGCCTGCAGCTGCAGCCTCCTGTCCCCCGGCCCCCGTGGTGGCTGCCCCCTCTGAGGTCAGGGCAGGCCCTGCAGCTGGCAGCCCTGCCTGCTGGAGCTGAATTCCCTGCTGGCCTCCCAGCCCACAGCTGCATGGAAGGACTGCTGCTGCTCTAAGCAGCCCCTGGCCAAAGGAAGAGAAGGGCAGTGCTAGGACATTTCACACAGGGTCTTGTTTCGTTTAGTCCTCACCATAATATACCCATGAAGGCACAGTAAACCCATTGAACAGATGAGAACAACTGACACTCACGGAGGTGTTGGAGCTCCTTTGTGACAGTCAGAGCCACCCAGCTAAGGCGTGAAGGAGCCAGGCTTGGAGTCCAGGTATGCATGGAAATGGGTGGTGCCCTCTTGGCCCCACGGTGGGGCTTCCCAGATTGTCTTCCTGTTCATCTGCCTGCCATGTAACTCAGAGCTCAGAGCACAAGGCTAACATGGCCTACGGTTCGCATAGGAACCACTGAGCTGGGGTTGGCCCTGGTCCGAGGCTGGGCCTGGACTATGCCTGGTCATGGGGATGTTGGACACTACATCTGAGATTTGCTCTTTGCAAATCTCATTCCTTGCCCTGCTCTGTACCGTAGGGCATTGCCTTGCCCTCTGGCTTCCTGAAAGTATGTCTACGGGAAGGCACTGATAGAGGCTGGCGGGCAGGAGGAGGAAGATAGCCAGGTGTTTCTCCCTATTCAGTCTTGGCAGCACCTCTGGCAGTGCTGTTTCCTTCATAACTCTAGCTCAGTTTGGGGCTCCGCCAAACTGAACCCCCTTCCATGGTCGCAGCTCCCATGCAGAAGCCTCTACCATGACTCCGAAAGGTGCCCTGGTTTCTGGGCTCTGGTGACACTGCCTTCTCTCTGTGGGACAGCAGTCATGAATCTCCGGCTTGCTTAAGTCACCAGCCAGTTTGGTTACCAGTTTCCCTGTATCAAATCACCTGTTTATGAGACCTAGAGTGACTTCTGTTTGGGAGAAGAGATCCTAGACCATCCCCACTGTTGAAGAAGAAGAACCTAGCCATGACCATCAGAAAGGAGGAGCAAGGAGTGAAAGATGTGTCTCAGATCCACAGCGTCACCAGGAGGTGGCCACCAGCCCACTCTGGGACCTGGCCTCCTCTCATATGAAAGACAATAGCCGTACTCTTGGTGCTTTCTTTGAGGGCTCTTGTCAGGGTAAAATGGGGCAAAGAGCTGGTTGGTGCTCAGGCCAGCACAAGGCACTCTCAGATGCCCAGGCCTGCACACTCTCATCCCCACTGTTCTCAGCCCGGCCTGCCTGGGCACAGAGGTGGACTACTGCAGGGCCCGCACGTCTCTCCAGCCTTATCTTGGGCTGTTCCACCCACCCAGAGCAGATCCACACAGATTCCGAGGAAGTTCAGCAAGGCTCTGACTGTCCTCGGGAAAAGGGGGTAGCTGGCACACAGGAGTGAGTCCCTGAGAGATCTCTGCTAAGGCAGCAAAGTCTACATGGTGCCCTGGAGACCTTGTTCATTTTGTCCTCTCAAGATGACAACCTTACTGCTCTGGGGAACTTTCCACCTGCTCAGTGCACCAAAGGAAGGGAGACTGTCAAAAGAACCAGAGGATCTGAGATTGCAAAGGGACATCATGGGGCCCTTGAGGAACAGCTTCCTGCTGGTGCACAAAGCCCAGCCAGAGCCAACCAGAGCCGGCTGAGCATCTACAGGGACAGGGGCTTCCCACCTCCCAGGTCCCCACACCACACTGAGCAGCTCTGAGGAAAGTATACACATGGGAAACAATGGCAAATGGAAATAGGATACCGTTATCATTAGAACTCTGGCAGACCTAGCTCATTTTGGTCCAGAGGACCTTTCTCTCTGCCTGCTGCATAGAGATAAGCTGGGTAGCTTCCCCAGGGGCCTAATCTCAGCAGTTGCCCCTCCTCTGCAGCTGGCCCCACCCTCTCCCAGCATGTGGCCCTCCCTGGGACAATCACACTGCCAGGTGCCCAGATCCAGGAGAGAGCACTGTGTCCAAGCCAGCCTAGCCCCAAACCTTCCCTGGATACTTGAAGGAGTGGGTTGCCCCTCCACACCTGTGGGTGTTTCTCGTAAGGTGGAACGAGAGACTTGGAAAAGAAAAAGACACAGAGACAAAGTACAGAGAAAGAAATAAGGGGACCCGGGGAACCAGCATTCAGCATATGGAGGATCCCGCCAGCCTCTGAGTTCCCTTAGTATTTATTGATCATTCGTGGGTGTTTCTCCGAGAGGGGGATGTGTCAGGGTCACAAGACAATAGTGGGGAGAGGGTCAGCAGACAAACACGTGAACAAAGGTCTTTGCATCATAGACAAGGTAAAGGATTAAGTGCTGTGCTTTTAGATATGCATACACATAAACATCTCAATGCTTTACAAAGCAGTATTGCTGCCTGCATGTCCCACCTCCAGCCCTAACAGCCCTAAGGCGGTTTTTCCCTATCTCAGTAGATGGAACGTACAATCGGCTTTTATACCGAGACATTCCATTGCCCAGGGACGGGCAGGAGACAGATGCCTTCCTCTTGTCTCAAATGCAAGAGGCATGCCTTCCTCTTATACTAATGCTCCTCAGCACAGACCCTTTAAGGGTGTCGGGCTGGGGGACGGTCAGGTCTTTCCCTTCCCACGAGGCCATATTTCAGACTATCACATGGGGAGAAACCTTGGACAATGCCTGGCTTTCCTAGGCAGAGGTCCCTGCGGCCTTCCGCAGTGTTTGTGTCCCTGGGTACTTGAGATTAGGGAGTGGTGATGACTCTTAAGGAGCATGCTGCCTTCAAGCATTTGTTCAACAAAGCACATCTTGCACAACCCTTAATCCATTTAACCCTGAGTTTGACACAGCACATGTTTCAGAGAGCACGGGGTTGGGGGTAAGGTCACAGAATCTCAAGGCAGAAGAATTTTTCTTAGTACAGAACAAAATGGAGTCTCCTATGTCTACTTCTTTCTATACAGACACAGTAACAATCTGATCTCTCTTGCTTTTCCCCACAGATACTCATGCTAGAGCTGGCCCTTCAGAGACGAGGCCTGACAGCCTCTCACCAGCCTCTCTGGTCTGCACGGAGGGCTAAGTTCCTTGCTGGAGGCTCCTCACCTTCGCTTCCCTTTCCTTGTCCATTATGGCTGGGCAGTGGTGTTCCTAACCCTCTCCCCAATCCCAGAGGTCAGGGATTTCAGGGACTGGTGGAAGGATCCATCCTCAGAGCGAGTCCTGCCCACTTCGTCCTCCTGAGAGGCTGTTCCCCTGCCTCTGATGTCAAGGCCAGGTCTGAAGCGATGACTGTGGCCCTACCCGACTTCCCTGCACAGCATTTCTAGTTCACTAACTTCATGAATCTCCCTGGCACCCTGCTACCTCTGGGCACAGACCACACCTGCCCTCCCTCCCCAGCCCCCATCTCACCTGGGATTCCCACTTCGATGCCTCCTGTGGCTCACTCATGGTCTGGAGTCCCCACGCCTCTGTCCCATATTTGTCTGAACACACATCAGCCCTCAAGGTCACCAAGGGGGTGCCACCCACGGCTGTCTCTGACCCCCAGTCTTCAATGCTGGGGCCTCCTGGGCTCTGGCCTCACTGTGGAAATCACTCCCAGTCACTGTCTGGAATCACTTCCTCTTCCCCATGCAATAACCTTGGGCCCCTGTCACCCTCTGCCAGGGAGAATAACAGCAAGCCCCAGGGTCCTAACCACATAGATTAATCCTCATTTGGTCATCTGGGGTAGGCACTGATGGTATCCCCCTTTCTTACAGATGAGGAAACAGAGGTGCAGAGAGGATAAATGATTTGCCCGACATAAATACTGTTCCGAACAGGAGACAAGGAAGTAGTAGGTAGAAGAGAGTGGTTTCCCAGCAAAGGCCCCACCCTCAAGCCTGGATTCCCAGGTCAATAAATGAGAACAGGCTTTCTTGTTTTCGTGCCCCAAAAGTTGCCTTTTTGGCCCACAATGCCCCCTATCTTGCCCCCAATATAAACCCCAAATCCCAAATTCCAGGAGAGACCAGCAGACCAGCAGATCAGTGATGGCCAGCCATGGGGTCCAAGCCCAAAAGCCCTTGCCCTGGTTCCTGCACCTGCCTGTCTGCATGCTCCCCCTTCCCCTCCCCTGCCATAAAGGGTTTGAGCTCCTGGTGGCCCAATAGAGAGACACACCCCTGTCGCACATCCTACAAGGGGGGCCAGGGAACTCTCCTGTTTCAATATGGCTTGCCCACAGACAGTGTGTGGGAGAGCTGAGATTTGAACCCACTCTGCCTTGAGCTCCCAGCTTAAACCCCTACACTGTCCAACCAAAAGAATAAGTCAGAGTAGTTCAGAACATTCCAATGTGGCATGATTCACTTGTTCTCACAGGGGATGTGCAGAGGATGGTGACAGAGAAAGGACTGCCCACCCCCACATACACTGGGGCACCCCCAGGCAGCTGCTACAAGCCAGGGTGGGATGGGGGCATTCTGACCCCGCTTATTACTCCCCAGGGCCGGGGAGGATGGGAGGATGGGCAAGGTGACACCCAGTCATAGCTGCATTACCTCATTGGAAGTATTCTCTAACTGAAACATTAAACTGCTAGTGAGCATAATTTCTAGGCAGACAGCAACTTTGCACAGGAAATTTGCAAGCATTACATGTCCTCTTTCCTTGTTGCAATCTGTATAGTTTATCTTCTGAAACAGGGCTCGTGACTAAAGAACAAGTCTCCTAGGCTGCTACTCCCAGAAACGAAAAATATATCATTCCTTACATGGCAGAAATTGGGCTTTCAAACCTATAAAGGAGAATTTGAACAAGGCTCTCCCAGAGCAGTTCCTGTCTTCCTCTGGCTCTTTCTACATCTCTTTCCCCTCTTTTTTCACTTTCACACTTCAAGACTGAGACCTGATTTTAAACCCAGTCCATTCCTGCTTAAGTGTCTGATGTCTCCTTTCCGAAGCTCAGAGCAGTCATCTTCCCTTCACATGACACATTCTAAAGAATTCTCCCTGTCTCCCCAGGGCTTCCCACCAGACTGAAGCAAAACTGACTCTCAGAATGCAAATGCCTCAGTCCCTGGCCTCCATTTATTTCTGCAGCAAATGTTAAGCAAGCACCTACTATATTCCAGGCACCATCCTAGGCATGGGGCAGCCGTGAGAAAACAAATTCCTACCTTCGAGTGTTCGTGTGTATCAGTTTAGCAGCTCTCAGCTGCAAGGGATGAAACCTCAGCACAACAAAGCTTAAACAATAGAGCTATTTAATGTCTTTTTTTTTTAATTTTTAAAAATAGACATGGGGTCTTACTACATTGCCCAGGCTGCTCAAACTCCTGGGCTTAAGCCATTCTCCTGCCCCACCCTCCCAAAGTGCTGGGATTAGAGGCATAAGCCACCACACCCGGCCATATTTTCTTATATGACAAGAATTCTGGTGGTAAAGGAAGGTCCAGGATTGGTTAATTCAATAGACCAATGATGGAAAGTCTGGTTTTTCCCATCTCTCCACTTTCCCATTATCAATGGATTGACTTTGCTCCTCAAACTAGCTCTCTTCCTGGTCACAAAATGGCTGCCACAGTTCCAATCATCATAACCAGGTACAAAAATGTTCCAGAGAACAGAGTTTCTTCCTTCCGACTCCTTTTAAGAACAGTAAAACACTTCAACATCCATGCATGATTAAAAACCTTCCCAACCTGATAAAAGGCATCCATGAAGAAACTCCAGCTAATTCAACACTTAATGGGGGAAGGCTGAATACTTTCCTCTAAGGTCATGAACAACGCAAGGATGTCCACTCTCACTACTTCCATTTGACATTGTTGTGGCAGTTCTAGCTAATACAATAAAGCAAAACTTAGAAATAAAAGGCATACAGATTGAAAAAAATGCAGGGCCAGGAGTCACTCATGCCCATAATCCCGGAGAGGGTAGATTCCTTGAGCCCAGGAGTTCAAGACCATCCTAGGCAACATGGCTACAAAAAAATAGAAAAATTAGCTGGGCATGGTGGTGTGCACCTGTGGTCCCAGGTACTCAGGAGGCTGAGGTGGGAGGATTGCTTGAGCCTGGGAGGTTGAGGCTGCAGTGAACCATGATTGCACCACTGCACTCCAGCCTGGGCAACGGAGCAAGACCCTGTCTCAAAAAAGAAAGTTACAGATGACATAATTATCTATGTAAAAAAAAAAACCCAAAGAATCTAAAAAAGAGTTATTAGAACTAATGAGTGAGCTTAACAAGACCATAGGATACAAGGCCAATAAACAAAAATTAGTTCTATTTTTATATGCTAAAAATAAATAATTCAAAGCTGATATTTAAAAGTGTCATTTATAATAGCATCAAAATTATAAAATACTTAGGTATAAATCTTAAAAAATATATTCAAAATCTGCATGCTAAAAACTATAAAACACATTTGAAAGAAATCACAGACCTAAAGAAATTGAAAGAGGTAATCATGTGTCTGGATTAAAAGATCTGGTATTGTTAAAACGTCAAGTCTCCCCAAACTAATCTATACATACAATGCAATTCCAGTCAAATCCCAGTGGGATTTTTATAGAAACTGACAACCTGATTCTAAAGTTGAAATGGAAAAGCAAAGAAACTAAAATAATTAAAACAATATTTTTAAAAGAAGAGCAAAAAGGAATCATACTACTTGATTTCAAGACTTATTATAAAGCTACCATCATCAAGAAACATGGTGTAGGAGAAAGGATGTATACATAGATCAATGGATCATAACGGAGTCCAAAAATAGACCCACACATTTATGGCCAATTGATTTTTGACAAAGGTGCAAAGGCAATTCAATGGAGAAAGGATAGTCCTTTCAGCACATGGTGCTGGAACAATTAGACATCCCCGGATGCAATGAGAAGGGGGAGGAGGAGGGGAGAACAACTTCAATTCATGTCTTGAACCATATGAAAAAACTAACTCAAAACAGAACTTAAAACTAAGTGCAAGCCTCAAACAATAAAACTTCTGGAAGAAAGCCTAAGTGAGAGTCTCTATGACCTTAGGTTAAGCAAATGCCAAAATCAATTCATTCCATAAAAGACAAAACTGATGGATTCGATTTGATCAAAATTAAGAGTTTCTATTCTTTGAAAGTCACAGTTCAGCATGAAAAGACTGAAAGAAAGTAGGTACAAATCACGTGTCTGATAAAAAGCCTATGTCCAGAATATACAAAGAACTCCCAAAACTCAATGATAAGAAAACAAAGAACTCTGTTTAAAAATAGGCACAAGATCTAAACAGACACTTCATCAGAAAAGATATACGGATGGCAAATAACACATGAAAAGACACTCAGGATCATTAAAGAAATGTAAATTAAAGCCACCACGATGAGACATATGTGTCTACATACATACTGGAAAGGCTAAAATTTAAAAAAAAACAAAAACCTCACAGTACGGAGTGCCTGTGAGGGTGTTGAGCAGCTAACCTTCCATATATTTATACTGCTAGGGGAAATGCAGAATAGGCTACCACTTTGGAAAACAATTTGGCAGTCTCCTATCAAGCTAAGCATACGTCTACCATATGACCCAGCAACTCCATTCCCAGGTATTTACCTAAGTTAACTGAAAACATATGTCCACACAAACTCTATCTAAATGTTTATGGACGTTTTATTCATAATCACCAAAAACTAGGACAACTCAAATGTCCCTCAACTGGCAGATGAATAAACAAACTCTGGTACCTCATCCAATGGCATACTATTCAGCAATCAAAAGGAATAAACTACCCATATATGCAGCAACATGGCTGAGTCACAAATTCCAAATGAAAAAAGTCAAATTCACAAAGCTACCTAGGCATTCAGAAAAGCAGAAGACTGTGGAGACAGAAATCAACTTGGTGTTTGCAGGAGCCGGGGCAGGGGAGATAGTGTCTACACAGGTAGTTTTGGGGGTGATGAACTTGTTCTATATCTTGATTATAGTGGTGTTTATGTGGTTGTATGCATTTGTCAAAACTCATCAGACTGTGCAGTATAAAAGGTGAGTTTTATTTTGTGTGATACCTTAATAAAAGAAAGAAAAAACAAACATTTCTCAGAAGCAACCTCCCATCTCAGTGGCTGGATTTGCGTCTTCCACAATTTCTAGCATGAGGAATGGGATTGTCTTGGCTGGTTTAGACTCATCAGGACTTGCTGGGAGCATGCAGGAGGGGTACTTGAACCCATCGAGAGTCTTGTTAGAAAGAAAGGTGGAGAGGGAGATGGGTATGAAGCAGGCTGCCTCTGGGGGCCTCCTACATGGAAGGTCCCAGACTGCAAACAAATTGGTAAACAGAAGTGCTCAGGTAGGCGTGTGTGCTACAGGAAAGAAAGCAGTGTGGTGTGAGAGGCGGAGACTTCTGGGGCCCGCAGGGAGGCCAGACGGACCCTCTCTGGGGAGGTGACTTTGGAACCCAGACCCGAATGTTGGGAGAAATCCAAGCAAATAGCACAGCAAAAGCCAAGAGTCAGGAGGGAGAACCCATAACCATGGTGTAACCTCGTGAGCACAGAAAGGCGGGCTGGAGACTTGGCTGGAAAGGGGAGAGGCCAGGGGTTGGCTTTCACCCCAAGAGCTAGGCAAGCCACTGAAAAGTTCTGCCAGTGGGATGACACAATCCCACTTATATTTTAAGAGTCACAGCTGTGTGGGAAGTGGACAGGAAGATAGAAACAATGTAAGTCGGGATGATGGTGAAGAAAAAGAAAGATATGGGAACAGCAGGCTGTAGGCTACAAAGCTGGTGGGTGGTAGAGTATAGAAATCATATGTTTGATGTGGTGGGAGCCCTCAGGAGCTCTCCTTGGGTGGCCTTGCTGTTCAGAGGCCTCTGAGACACTCACCTGGGATGTCAGGCAGGCACCTTCCTCATCTGTTAGATGGGAAATGTGGCTCTGGAGACAAATGACATTAACACCCCCCTTTATGACTCCCCTGCCATGTGACTGTGGCTTCAAAAGTATCCAATGAATAACCCTCATAGCCTCCCTGTGAGGTTATCAGTTTCATTTTATAGATGCAGAGAGAGAGAATCAGAAAGGTTGCATCATTTGTCCAAGGTCACCCAGTGGGTAAATGGTAGAGACTGTACCAGAATGAAATCAATGTCTGCAACCTGAAAAATCTGGGCGGCCCCTTCCCACAAAGCCTCCCAAAAGTGAAGGGTTATTTTTTATGTTCAGTCTGTGAAGGAGTTTATATGTGAGACACAGGTCCCCAGCACCTTTCAAAACTGCCAATCAGGCAGCCAGCTCCTCTTCTGGCCTGGGGTTCCTATCTGAAGGAGGAGACTGCCCAGCCGGAGGCAGCAGAAACATCTCTGCAGCTCAGCGCAGTATTTCCAGGCGGCAGAATTAATAGGGCAATTCCCCATGCAGAACTTAGCTGGCTCCAGTGCTAAATTAGCATAGATAAATATTTTTGAGAGAGGAAGGAAAATAATGCATTTTGCAATAAAGCCAGAGAACAGCCCTCTGCAGCCCAGTCCTGTGAATCTGGATGAAATGAATTTGCACCTGGTGTAATTGAAGGTGCCATGGTCCTCCGTGGCAGGGAGGAGGATCCAGCCAAGCGGATAAATTCCCTCTACTCCAGCAGAGCTGATGGTTGTCAAGAGGCTGATCTCTGTGGGGGGCCCAGGTGGGGGTGGGGAGGGCAGTGCCAGGGACTGAGGAGCAGGGCCGGGGCTTAGAGGATGAATGAGGAGAAAGACTCCCCAGCAGCCTACCGGGCACACACACACTCACACTTGCACTCACACTTGCACAGGCACACCTGACCCACCCCAAGGCTCTCTCTAGATGAAGGCCAAGCATCCCGATGGTATGGTCAGCCAGGAGCCTCTGACCTCCACACTCTCCTCCTAGCTCTACTGAAACTGTGAAGCTCTGGAAATTCCTCAGTGAATGGCTCACAAGCCCAAGGTAATGATCTGGGCCTCCCTGCAAACTGTCACCCACATCCTTCAGTCACTGGATTAGTAATTAGCCTTCTAAATCTCTCTCCAGCCCAAACTCTCTCCCAGTCCCCTCTGCCTCAGCCTCATGCAGGCCTTATCCTCTTTCCCATGGGTCCCCAGAAAAGGCCACCTCACTGCAGGGCTCCCCTGAGGCAGCCCCAAGGTGAGGGCTCAGGGAACCAGAGCTGGTGCACATCAACATAGCTCCACTGGTTGTTAAAAATACTAAAACACTTCAAAACCAGCTGGAAAATGACCGCCGCCAAACCCCCATGGAGGATCCCTGGCTGCCCTTGAACCCCAGGACCCTTGGGCTTCTCCATAAGGCACAAGCAGGTCCATGCCTGGCACCAAGAGTATGGCCCACCAGCCCTTCTGATTGGCTGGGTGTCTTATATTTGGAAGATGTTCCCTGGGGTGGGAAATGTAGACCCCTCCATGATCGTCGTCAACTCCTCTGGTAACATACCAGCCAAGGTAGAGAGAGGGTTGCCATCACGTGCTAAGACAAGCCCCTGGCCTCCCTGCGACAACCAGGCCCCCACCATCTCCCTGCAGCCCATGGGCAGGAGGGGCCTTCCCACAGTCTGGCCTTCCCAGCTCCCAGCGTTCAAGGCCCTGAGCCCTCTGGTCCTTGCTGACCTCTCCAGATGCTCTCCTGAGACGGCCGGGGGAGAGCCATGCAAGATTCAATCCTGTCCTGGAGGAAGGTAGAGGGCAACTGACAAAATAAAACAAACAGAAGGGAGCTAGACCAAGAGCAGGGCTGCTGGAAACCCAAGAGGAGCACCCACACTCGGGGCTGACAACCCCACCCTGGTCTGAGAGACAGCAAGGGGCACTGCCAGGTCTAGCAGCTGTGGCCAGGGTCCAGCTGCTGGACCAGCATCTGATCTGGGACCGGAAGCCGGGTGGACAGTGAGCTGTGCTCTGCCTAGCTCTGCCAGAGCAGGTACAGGGCCTGGGAACCCAGCACTCTGCTGGGGGGCCCAGCCCTACCTGCTAGAGGGTGTCTCCAGGTCTCATCCTGGCTCCAGAGGATCTCACCAGGTCTAAGACTTCAGGCCATTTTTGCATCAAAAGTCTTTGCCCTAATGCTTTTTCTCTAACATCAAATATCTAACATCAAATATTTTCCCTGCCTGTGGCTCTCAGTAATAGTATGGAAATGGAGCAGAATTCCTTGAGGTGCTTTTTTTCCTAACTGCACACTCCAGGCTACTTCCCTGGGATTCTGAAAAGCACTCCCTAGGGGAAAATGTCAGAATCCTTGGGGCAGGGACGGGGAAAGAGGATTATAGCCAGTGTGAAAAGCTATAAACATCCGGAGATTCCATCAATACTCCCCTTTCCCCGGGGCAGGCACAGGGCCCCGGAGGGGGAAGCAGGGTCCTTTGCCCTCTGCCTCTGTGAGTCACTGCCCCTCCAACAGAGTACTCACCCTGGTGGCTGTCTGACTCCAAGAGCCCTGGGCTCACACAGGGGCTGATCCCAGGGGCCGGGGCGTCATCAGCTGCTATGCAGGACAGAGTGCTACTACAAGGTGAAGGACCCAGCCACTTTGAGCAAAAAGCCCAGGAGCATCTACAGGAGGCTGTGGGTACAGCCACACTTGGTGGCGTCCTGTCTGCCCAGCACATCTCTACCAGCCTATGGGTTTTGTTTTATAAGCACTTTTATAGTGCCAGGCACTGCCGTAAATACAGTACATATATTAACTCATTCTGTCTTCATACAGCCCTATTTCTTTTTTTCTTTTTTTGAGACGGAGTCTTGCTCTGTCGCCCAGGCTGGAGCGCAATGGCATGATCTCGGCTCACTGCAAGCTCTGCCTCCCAGGTTCACACCATTCTCCTGCCTCAGCCTCCGGAGTAGCTGGGACTATAGGCATACGACCCTATTTCTGAAGTAAATCCTACTGTTTTCCCATTTAACAAATGAAAAAGCTGGGGCTCAGAGATGGTAAGTGATTTGTGTACAGTCACACAGCTCCAAAGTGGAAGAGTCAGAATTCAAGTCCAGGCAGTGTGGCTCTGATCCAGCCCTTGCACCCTGGCTCCAGCAAGCCCCTGTGAGTGCCCAGGGCAGGGGGCAGGAGCAGGCTTTAATGGTTTTGCAGCCTGTGCAGGTCAGGGCTCCAACCCAGACCCTATAGGTGCCTCTGCTCCTGGTTTGTAGATGCTACCTGCAAATTAGCTAAACATTATGGAAAAACCTGTGTCTTGGCCAGGATATGGCTCATTAATGCACATTTATACAAATCATGACAATTTCTTCAGACAGAGACTTGAAATGCCTTCTCTGCAGAAGCTGGTCACAGAGATCACCAAAAATAGCAACCGGCTCAAGGCAGTAGCTTGGTAAATGCCACTGACAATCTGGGGTTTATTTCTCCTCCCAAAGCCAATGCTGGTGCTCACAGTGGTCTCTCCAGGGACCAGAGCAGCAGCTGAAGGTCCAGGTGTGGAAGGGCGCCAGTCCTGGCCTGGGGATCATGCTGCCCCAGCTCCACTGCGCGCTGTTTCTTATGGACCAATTTTGGTATCTGTGTGGTTAGTCCAAAAAAACAGACACATTGATGTGCACCAAGGCTCTGGAGTCTGTGAAGTCTTGGTCTCTCTGAGCTTCAGTTTTATCATCTGCACAAAGGGCATCACCAGGTAGCTGCGAAAATCAGAGATGATGAACGGGATGCCCATGGCACATGCCAGGAGCATGACAAATGGGACCTACTACTACTGTTACTCCAAGGAGCAGACAGAAAAGGGTGCTGTGTGCCAGGGCTTCCAGAATGGAGAGGGCGAGGTGAGCTGAGAGATTGTTTGGAAATCCTTCTACCTCCTGGGAGCAGCATGACTGAAGGTGGGGGCAGGGAGTGGCCCCAGAGCTGACCAAGCATGGCATGAGGTTTCCCTCGATCTCCAGGGGGTGTCCCAGAGGGACAAGGAAGGCCCCTGAGCACAGAAAGCCCAGCAACTAGCAGGTACCCGGGACCCTGGCTGGGCAGGTTGTGCGGAGGGGCATGGGCTGAGTGTGAGGAGCCCCTAAGGGAAGATGCAGATCCGGAGTGAGGGGTCTGCTGGAGGTTGGTGGGCGGCCAGCTGGCAGTGCCCGCTGCAGCAGAGCCAGGAGCCTGGGCCCCCCCAACCCTTGGCCCATACACACACGTGCTGAAACTGAGACCCAAGGGGGCCAGGACCAGGTCCGGAGCGCAGCAAATGGACGGGCCAGACTTGGGGCCTTGCAGAGCCCCCTCCCACATCGGAGAACCCCGGGAGTGCTCACCAGTCCCTCCTCCGCGGCTGGGTTTCCTAGGAAACAGGCCAGTGCTACGAGACACAGTCACCCCTCTCCATCTGCGGGGAGCCCTGCTGCTTCTCTGTGAGGTGGAGGCGGGAGGCTGGGCCCAGACGCCCGAGGCTGGGCCCAGACGCCCAAGGCTGGGGGGCGCCTGGGGAAGGCCCGGGGCTGGAGGTGCCCACCTTACCCGAAGCTCCTCAGTCCGCGCTTATGCAGCAGGTAGAACATGGTTAGCGTGGGGTTTCAGAATCTTCACAAGAATTAAAGTATGGTTTAAGAGTGTTTCTAGCAACATGGGGAGAGCAGAATGCCAATGGCCAGGGCGCCCCAGCCTTCCTGAGCCACGGGATTCTCACCCCAGGACTGTTCCTGCACCCATTTCACAGGGAGGGAAGCCGCTCAGAGGGACAGGGGAATAGTTCCTCAGGCCCCAAAGCTGGCAGGAGACAGAGCTGGATTTTAAAGTCAATGCTTAAGCCATTCTGGAATACACCATATTCTGTGAGCAGTGGAAATGGAGCTCTCTTTCTCCTCTTCGTCTCTTCCTCCCCCATTCTCTCTCCTCCTCTCCCTCCCTCTCTCCCTCTGCCTCTCTCTCTGTGCCCTCTTCCTCCCTCTCTCTGTCTCCCCCCACCTCCTTTTATCTCCCTGTCTCTCCCCTCCTCCGTCTGCCACTCTCTCCCTCACTCTCTGTCTCCCTCTCTCTCCGTCTCTGTCTCTCTCTCCTCCCCTTTCAAAGTCTCTCTTCCTGTCACTTCATCCCTCTCCTTCTCTCCCTCCTTCCCCACTCCCTCCTTCCTTTCTACTTTTGAGTATTTTCCAAATGTTCTATAGTGAGGAGGTCAACTTTCTAACAGTATCAAGAGAGGATAAACCTAGCTTTTTCCCCTTAGAGGAGCCCCCATTAGCTCCCCTCCTTCAGCACTTACACCGTGCCCCAGGACTCACCCAAACGCAGAAGCCACAGGGCTTCCTGGTCATTCTCCATCAGCTCAACACTGGTGGAGGAAAATGATACACAGTGTTTTGAGCTACATCTTTCTGAGGACTTCAGTGAGACCCTGGCTGAGGTTCCCAGCCTGGACGTAGAATTCTAGGCCCTCGACAGCCTGCCACCCTAGCAGCGATGAGGAAGTGAACGTCCTTGGACCGGCAGGGCCATGGCTGGGTCTGTGTCTTTCTCACTGAGTTCTACGACCCCACTGCCATTTGAACAAACCGTTTCCAGACTACCCCACTTGCTTCCTGTGAGTCCGGACTCACACCGGGTGCTGGGGACTCGGCAATAACAGCCAACAGCCCTGCGCTTAAAGCACTCAAAGCCCAGAGATGAAAACAGACAAATGCGCGACCAAATACAGTTCAGCACGGAAATGGAAGGACAGCAAGGGCCAAAGGAAGGGCTCAAGGAAGCATTCAGGGAGGGCTTCCTGGAAGAGACGAAACCTCAGCTGCCTCCTGAAGGAGCAGTAGCTGGCCAGAGGTGTGGTCTTGGCCTCGCCACCCCAATCTGCACCCCCACCGGCCACTGATTCCCTCTCCCTGTGTTCACACACACTGCGTTCCTCTCCCTATTCACATGCGCTGCCTTTCCTCTCCCTGCATTCACATGAACTGCCTCCCTCTCCCTGTTCACACACACTGCCCCCCTCTCCCTGTTCACACACACTGCCTCCCTCTCCCTGTTCACACATACTGCCTCCCTCTCTCTGTTCACACACACTGCCTCCCCTCTCCCTGCATGCATGCACACTGCCTTCCTTCCCACCCCGGGACCTTTGTGCATGCCGTTCCTTCTGCGAACTCATTGTTTAACTCTCAGCCACAGTGTTGCTTCCTCCTGGAGCTTCCCTGACTGCAGAGGGCCCTGGTGGACACCGTCCCCACACCCTTCTTCCTAGAACTCTCCAGAGTTTGGAATCCTAGAACTGTGTGGCCCTTCAATTCATGTCTCTCTCCCCTACCCCAGACTGTGAATGCTGAGAAGGCAGGCACAGATCTCTGGCTCCTGGCCAGCTCCCCGGGGCCCATAGCAGAGTGCCAGCATACAGCAGGTGCTCAGTAAATGTGTACTGAAGGTAGACAGGAGGAAGGCACAAAGGAAAGAAGGCAGGATGGGAGAGGAGAGAGGAGAAGGCGGCTCCAGTGGGAGGCTGAGGGAGAGGGACTGCGTGTTTGGGGACGGTGTCTGCTGGGCCTGCCTGGGCTCCCGGGGTTGGTGAGGAGTGAGGTCAGACCAGAGGCAGCTTCCTGGCCCAGGAAGCTGGGAAGCTCCAGACAGCCATAAAACATGAATGGCACATTCACTCCTTGTTTCAGGGAGTTCAGGCCCAGGATAGGGAGTGGCCCTGAGGGTCCAGGCAGTCAGGAACAGCAGCCTCACAGAAGGCCAGACCTCAAAGGCCTGCCCTTCCCTTCCACAGCAACAACACCTCCCCCGCCTGGGGAAAAATCTCACACACACACACACACACACACACCCCTCCCTCACCTGGGGAAAAATCTCTCTCTCACACACACACACACACCAGCCCCTGGTGAGCTCTATCACCAGGATGGGCCATCCGTAGACCACTGCCCACCCTGGAGGCTGCAGTTGGTCCCAGGAAAGCAAGCAGGTGGGCAAAGGACCCACCAGGGCCACTGGGAGTCCTCTCTGGGACTGCCTGATGGATGCTGGGCAGAGAGGTTTTCTTTCTGCTAGAGTGACAGAAAGTAAACCCAGAGCAGCCGATCGCCGCCTCGCCCCTCCTCAGAGCCACAGAAGGAAGCTGGCCGCTAGATCAGAGGAGCGCAGGGTGATGTTACCACCGAGCGCCTGGACCCAGTGGTGCCTGAAGGACTTCACCTGGCCTCCCCGGCCCTGCTACTTGCAACCAAAAGAGGCTTTGCTGATTCTGAAATTGCCACCTGGAAATGGAATGTGACAAGAGACAGATCTCAAGATGCAGAAGGGGCCGGGTGAGGCAAGGAAGCACTCCACGAAGCCGCCAGTCCCTGATACGCCACGTGAGTGACACTGTCATCAGCTGTGTCTCTGGACTCTGATCATGTGCCTGCTCAGCTGGGGCTCTAGGGAGCTGGATAACACAATACGGGGTGCTGACCAGGCCTGCCACCTCCAGTGAGTCCTGGGGGAAGCTGGACTTGAGGTGAAGGTGTAGCTCTGTGGGGAGCCACGGTCTCTGAGTACCATGAGAACTTGAGACCTCAACACATCTGCAGACAGGGCACTATGTTTGTCTGCATTTCACACATGAAAAAACTGAGGCTCGGACAGGTAAAGGAATCACAGCCACCAGAAGCCTTGGTGGCGTTAGTGGTTTAGAGGGGCTCACAGAACAGGCTCCAGCAGGGTGGCTCCAGGAGCACAGGCCAGCTGGGAGGCAGAGCCCACAGGAGGCCTGGAGAACAAGTGGGGCAACCAAGGCAGGGAGCCACTAGAAGAGTGGTATGGTGGGAGGGCTGTGGGAAGCTGCGGCTTGCTGGGCCCAGAGCTAAGGCAGCACAAGTAACACCACGCCCCAGCTGCTGGGAGAGGGGCTACAGAATCCCACCAGGACAGGCTGGCACAAGCTAGGGGACTGGGAGGGCTGGACGGTAGAGCTTCATGGCTTCTGCTGGGAGGGGGAAGCAGGGCCAACTCCGGGCCATTCTCTGGGCGTTAGCTAGCATTGGCCCCAGCCCAGGGGCCCGTGCAGGCTGGGGTGGGGCTAGCACGAGGTGGGGGCTGTTCAGGATGCCAGGCAGGCTCTGACTGCATTTGCAGCTGCTTCGAGGCTCATCTCCCATCGGACGTGCATTGCTCTGCAGCACTCGGCCCCATCCCTGTCACTGCAGCTGCCACTGCCTCTGTCCCAGCTGAGGGGGAGGGGAAGCCCAGAAGGCCAAATAACAAACAGGACCAATTTCCCCAAATCAACCTGTCGCCACAAAGGGAGGAAAATTCAGAAGCCTGGCCAAAGCTGACCTTCTGTTTACATTTTCCTTGGAAACGAAGAAACAATTGCTGCTGCTCTAGGGAGCTGTCTTCAGTTGCCCCCTCCCCTGCTCCCACCCCCCACCCCGTCCTATTCAAGCGCAGCCAGGGATGACACTGGAATCTTGAATCAAACTAAGTGGTTACTATGGTGTCAGCCTGAAATTCTGAATCTCCGAGCCGGCCAGCGCTGAGGCGCAGAGCCAGGGTACACAATTAAAGCAGAGAGATCGAGGAAAGAGAAGGCACATTGTATTTCAATAGCAGCAAAATTGCACTTCCCAGCATGGCGGGGGAGAAAGATGTGCTTAGAAATGAAGCTGGACGCAAGATCGGGGCTAGGAACAGCCCCAGTTCCACCACCCACCAGTCATCTCTCCCCGGCACATACACTATCCCCTTCTGCCCTTGTCCCTGTGGTCACTGAGAGCCATGGAGCCCTGCCCTGACCCCTGCTCCCAAACTGCACGTCCTTAGCCTACCCAGAGGCAGGTACCACTTCTCATTACACAGTGCCAGCTTCCCAATGCCTGGGGGCCTCTGCACTCACCTGGGTGGACACTGGCACAGCTCATGGGCATCTCTTTCCTCAACCCCATCTGGAACCCACTGAAAAGTCCTGCCAGCCCTCCCTGTAAACGCACTTGTGTGAGGCCCCTCTCACACCTCCACAGCTGCCACCCTGGCCCAAGCCTGTCATCTGTACAACAGCATTAGCCCTACACTGATCTGATCCCCCTACAGTCTCTTCTCATTGGGGTAGCCAGAGAAATCTTACTGAAGCACAAGCCCCATCCTGTTCCTCCTCACATCACTCAAAGAAAAAGCCAGAGCCCTTCAGTGGCCTCCCGGGCATGCTCAGGCCGGACCTCCTTCCTCTCCTACTCATTTCCCCCAACCCCAATCACTGGCTCCAGCCGCCCTGGCCTCCCACCTTCTATGAACATGACAAGCAGGCTGCTCCTGCCCCAGGGCCTTTGCAGCGGCTGTTTCCCCTGCTAGAGCACTGTCCGCAGTCAATCCCACAACTACAGGGGTTTGTCTGTTTGGCTCACTGCTGTATTCCCATGCCCAGAACAGCACGGGCATGTAGGCGTACTCAGGAATGAATGAGTGAACCATTCCCTGGGTTCCGGGCATTGGAGGGGCAAACAGGAGGCTCCCACAAGCAACACCCAATCCATAAGCCTGTTTGGTTCAGCCCACGGCATGCCGACCTGCAAGGCGCATGTAAACCTGAATTCATTAACAACATATAAAAATGGGAAGGTTGAACACACAAAGCAGGATTTCCAACAAAGGAGTTATCCGTTCCTTAAAGGTTTGGCAGAACTTCCCCATAAAACTGTCTGGACCTGATGCCTTCTTTTTTCTTTCTTTCTTTTTTTATTAGGCTACCTTTTAATTGCTTTTTTGAATAGGTCTGTTCATAATGTTTCCCCTTGCTTCTTCTTGATTCAATTTCAGTGTATGAGCCAGAGATGTAGACCACAGCTGGTTAAGGGCAAAACACTGTATACTGCAGAGTTTAGAAAGCTTCTTGAGTTTCTGTGAAGGTGAGCAACATAGACAAAAGGGAGGAGACATTCCATTCCCTCCAACACAATGTCCTGACAGAAACCCACTGCCTCCACCACTCACCACTGGGTGCCTCTACCACAACTGTCTGGGCTGAGCCTAATGCTTTTGCCACAAGAGACAATCTTTCTGCACATGACCTGGCTCCTGCCATCCTCTCAGCCCATTGCTCGTCACTCCTCTTGTGTTAAGCAGGGCTCTTGCTATGGTAAAAAGCATAATCCCATCTCACGCAGGCACAAATAAAAGGAAAGAGATCTTTTGGCTAGTGTGCCAGAGAAGCCTTGGGACTTCAGGCACAGCTGGATCCAGGAACAGTGCCAGGAATCCATCTTTTGCCACTTCTAAGCTACACCTCCCTCTGCTGTTGGCTTCATTCTCAGGCAGGCTCTCCCCTCCTGGTAAAAACACAGTCCCCTCAACCACCAACTGTAGCTCACTTTTGCCTCTGGAGTCCTGCTTTGATAACCTGCTTGGCTCAGTCCAAGCCACACACTCAACTTGAGCTGCAAGGACATATGGAAAGTATAGTTTTTAGCTTTTCCACTTATGGGGTGGAGACAGGCCTGCTGGAAGGGATTGGGGCAGAGGTCGGGTTAGCCAAGTTGCAGCATCTGCCACTTTGTACATATGTGATTTTTCCTAAAAAGTATTCATTTTACCTTTGATAATTAGATTTATTGGCAAAAAATATGCTTTGTATTCTCCCATATTTTAACATATCTGTGTATCTATAATCCCCCTTCTGCATGGTTACTGATATGTTTTCTTGATCAGATTTACTAGTTTTGTCTGGCTTATCAGTCTTTTCAAAGAATTATCTTTCCTATTTATATCTCATCTACTATTGTTTTATTCTATTTCATTAATTTCTGCTCCTTTTCTTCATTAATTCCTTCAGTCTGCTTTCTTCAGATTTATTCTGATGTTGATTTCCTAGCTTATTGAGGTAAATGCTTCTCTTATCTTTTTAATCTTTCCTCTTTACTAATGACTGCATTTAAGGCTATTCATTTTCCTCTAAGTACACATGGCTTGGGTGGTATCCTGTGGGTTTTTTTATGCAGTGCCTTTATTGCTGTTCATTTCTAAATAGTTGATAATTCAGTTTTGAGTTATTGTTTAATTCACATTATTTAGATTTGTTTTTAAATCTCCAAGTGGATGGATTTGAGGGTGCTCCCCTCTTGTTCATTTCTAGTTTTATTTGCATTGTGTTTGGGAAATGTGACTGGCATGATCTTTTTAATTTTTAAAAAAATAGGTTTTAAAAATCAAAGGGAGTGTAAAAACATATCCTCCCTGTAAAATAGCCAGTCAATACAGAAGTGCATAGAGCCAAACATGAGAGTTTCCTCTTGCAATTATTCTTATTCTCTCAGCTTCACCCTCCTATTCATTCAGAGCTAACCTTTATGAATACTTTGGAGTATATTTTTCAGCCCTATTTTTAAATCTAAGCATATATTTATATATTCATCCCTAGAGCTTAAAACTTTCTTCTGTTTTACAGCCTGTCTTGCAGAACTCTTAGCTAACTCTACTTTCAGCCATATTTTTCCAAATAAATGCATTTTGTCTTCAGATAAATGTTTGCTTTGATTTGGCAGCAGCCTGTATATTTTGATATGTCATGCTATCACTGCTGTTCATCTTTAGGTCATTTTTAATTTTTGTTTTGATTTACCTTTTAACTTGAGTTCTTGATCAATTTTTTTAAAATTTTTGATTATGTATGTTTGAGAACCAAGGAAAATGGAAAACATTCCACCTCTTTCTAAAAGAACTAGGCAAGGATAATTTTTAAAAGAAATGTGTAAACCAATATCCCACATTAAAGATTTTCCAAAAGCCTAAGTAAAATATCAACAAATTACATGCAAAATATAATCAAAAGATTAATCGGTCATGATAAAATAGATTGTAATCCAGGAATTGAAAGACAGCTCAAGATAATGAATGTAATATTATCCATTATTTTCACATATTAAATAAGAAAAGTCATATGATCATTTACATAGATACCCCCAAAGAAGCAATTTATAAAATCCGACATTTGTTTCTGACTTGTAAAACTTCTGATTAGTAAGCTAGGAAATAGAAGGGAAATTCATTAATTTAACAGAGATTGTCCATTAGAAACTCTTAGTAAACTTGACACTTAACGGTGAAATTTTAGAAGCATCCCCATCAGAGTTGGGAGAAAACGACAAATGCCCCCTCCCACCCTATTATGCAAGGGACTTGAGATTCCAGGGAATGCAAAGCCAACAGGCATTGCATCTGAATTTGGGACTTAGGAATACTCTGGGACCTTCAAGTCTGAGCCCTAAGAAGCCCTGCAATAAGAACAAGAAAGAAGAGTCTCTAGACAGAAGTAATAATAATAAACTGTCATCGTTTGCAAATGATATAACTGCCTATCTAGAAAATCTATAAGAACAAATAAGAGAGTCCAGCAAGTGACTAGACATGACCTAGCAAGTTCAAACCAACAACCATGACCAGTTAGAAAACATTTGGGGGAAAAGATGTAGCCCATTCACAATAGTGACAAAAACTAGAAAATAATTAATAATACATGTAACAAGATCTATATGAAAAAAAGATCAAACTTTACATAAACAAAAACTTAAGTAAGTAGAGAAACTACTACATTCTTGAACACAAAGGGATCGATTCTCCCCCAAGGAGTCTATAAATTCACTGCAAACAAGATACCAAGCACAGATTGTTGGCTCCCTGCCCAAAACCCAGCATTAGAGATACCACAGCAGAGAAGGGGAGGTTGATGGATCTGAGAAGCCAGCATAAAACTATGAGACAGAAGGTGGTTGAGTTCTGGCGTGTGTGCGCGTGTGCTTGTGTGTGTGTGTGTGTGCGTGCACGTGTGTGTGCAGGGAGAGGGAAGGATGACAGTCCAGAGTGGAAAAGAGCCAGTCAATGTTGGAGTGGATTAGGTTAGAGGAATGCTTTTTTTTTTTTTCTTTTTTCTAAGATAGGGTCTCTCTTTGTTGCCCAGGCTGGAGTGCAGTGGCATGATTATAGCTCACTGTAACCTTGAACTCCTGAGCTCAAACAATCCTCCCTCCTCAGCCTCCTAAGTAGCTGGGACTACAGGCGCGCACCATGATGCCCAGCCAGGGCAATGCTTCCTAACTCTGCTCTTTTCTCTCCCTGGCACACTGAGAGGACTGTTGTCAATCCCCTCACCTGTATAAGGCAGGAATGAAACAACAGCACCCGCCCAGATGAAACAACGTTGAAGCAGTTATTTGTCCTGGCCGCAGTGTGGGCTGGCAGTTCTTGCTGGCTGTTGGTTTGGAGGTCAGCTGGGTGGTTGGTCACGGTGCCTACACGTGGTCTCTCCATGTGGCTTGTTTTCTCTCTGCATGATAGTTAAGATCTGAGAGGGAACCTCTCAAACACTAGCATTCCAAAAGACCCAGGGAAGTTCTAAGTTTTTATATGACCCAGCCCAAAACGCCATCCCTCCATATTCTATTGAGGAGGATGAGTAACCAAAGCCAGCCCAGATCAGAGGGAGAGGAATGTGGCTCTACCTCTGGATGTGAGGAGGAACGGCTCACATCCACAGCCGTTGGAAGCCATCTTTGTTTCTCCACCATAGTCCCCAGGCTCACACGATGTTGTCTTTTTCCCCCTTGGGAGTCCATATTCCTTTGGAAGTATAAGCTAATTTGACTAATAACGTACACTGGATAAAAATACTCATGAGTAAAAGTCTAAATATGTTATGGGTAAGCTCTAAAAGATGAAAATGGAATGCCCAAATTTCAAATCAATAGTAGAAATTTTGATCTATCTGTTGAAATATGGCAACATTTTAAAAATAAGAAAATGTGATAAATAGAAAACAAAAAAGACTTTAGGAGAAATAGATCCTAATATAACAAGGATTCAATTAAATATAAATGGTGCAACTGCACCAAACGAAGACAGAGAGTCTCAGATTTTTTAAAAAGAATCCAGTAATGTCTATAGGAGACACAATTAAAGAGATGAAAATAAAAGAAACGAAGAGGAAAAAAATCAGGCAAATAAGGAACAAAGAACACAGCAACTTTAATATCAGAAGAGAAAAACAGGAATCAAGGCAAAAAAAAATCAAAAGGGACAAAAAGAGACATTTTACTTTGTTAAAAAGAACAACGAATTGAGATATATCATGCTAATAATGAACATATGTTCACCTAAAATACAGCCTCGAATATATATAAAATAACAACTGAAAGAACTATGGAGAGATATAGAGAACTCAAAAACTATGGCTGAAAATTGTAACACATTTGTCGTAGGAACTAATAGATCCAGACAACAAACATAAGCAAATGTATATGAAAGATATATTTAAATAGATATAAAAATTTCCACCCAACAGAGACAAAATGTGTTATCTTTGAACACACATGGACCATTCACAAAATCAACCACGTATTAAGCACAAGTGAAGCCTCCCTAAATTAAATAAGAAATCAATATCATATAAACCCATTCTCTAACCATAATGTAATAAAACAAAAGCAGTAACAAGAGGAGGATGGCTTTTTAAAAAATTCCCACATATCTGAAAAAGGGAGAAAATTGCAAATAAGCAAAATATAGAGCAAAAAACAGAAAATCACTACAGGCATAATATAAAATTCCAAAGTAATCACTATTACAAACAACTGTTTAGTCTACAAATTTGGAATTCTGGACAAAGTAGATATATTTCTGGTAAAACATAAAATGCCAAAATTGGAACAAAAAGAAACAGAAACTTAAATAGATCAATAACGATTAAAGAAGTTAAAATAGTAACCAAGTACCCACTTCTCTAGACAGCTCAAGCCAAAATCATTTCACAAGGGAGTTCAAGCAAACTTTCAAAGAAAAGAAAAACTCAAGACAGGGATGCCCTCTCTCACCACTCCTATTCAACATACTGTTGGAAGTTCTGGCCAGGGCAATTAGGCAGGAGAAGGAAATAAAGGGTATTCAATTAGGAAAAGAGGAAATCAAATTGTCCCTGTTTGCAGATGACATGATTGTATATCTAGAAAACCCCATTGTCTCAGCCCAAAATCTCCTTAAGCTGATAAGCAACTTCAGCAAAGTCTCAGGATACAAAATCAATGTACAAAAATCACAAGCATTCTTATACACCAACAACACACAAACAGAGAGCCAAATCATGAGTGAACTCCCATTCACAATTGCTTCAAAGAGAATAAAATACCTAGGAATCCAACTTACAAGGGATGTGAAGGACCTCTTCAAGGAGAACTACAAACCACTGCTCAAGGAAATAAAAGAGGATACAAACAAATGGAAGAATATTCCATGCTCATGGGTAGGAAGAATCAATATCATGAAAATGGCCATACTGCCCAAGGTAATTTACAGATTCAATGCCATCCCCATCAAGCTACCAATGCCTTTCTTCACAGAATTGGAAAAAACTACTTTAAAGTTCATATGGAACCAAAAAAGAGCCCGCATCGCCAAGTCAATCCTAAGCCAAAAGAACAAAGCTGGAGGCATCACACTACCTGACTTCAAACTATACTACAAGGCTACAGTAACCAAAACAGTATGGTACTGGTACCAAAACAAAGATATAGATCAATGGAACAGAACAGAGCCCTCAGAAATAACGCCGCATATCTACAACTTTCTGATCTTTGACAAACCTAAGAAAAACAAGAAAAACAAGCAACGGGGAAAGGATTCCCTATTTAATAAATGGTGCTGGGAAAACTGGCTAGCCATATGTAGAAAGCTGAAACTGGATCCCTTCCTTACACCTTATACAAAAATCAATTCAAGATGGATTAAAGACTTAAACGTTAGACCTAAAACCATAAAAACCCTAGAAGAAAACCTAGGCATTACCATTCAGGACATAGGCATGGGCAAGGACTTCATGTCTAAAACACCAAAAGCAATGGTAACAAAAGACAAAATTGACAAATGGGATCTAATTAAACTCAAGAGCTTCTGCACAGCAAAAGAAACTACCATCAGAGTGAACAGGCAACCTACAAAATGGGAGAAAATTTTCGCAACCTACTCATCTGACAAAGGGCTAATATCCAGAATCTACAATGAACTCAAACAAATTTACAAGAAAAAAACAAACAACCCCATCAAAAAGTGGGTGAAGGACATGAACAGACACTTCTCAAAAGAAGACATTTATGCAGCCAAAAAACACATGAAAAAATGCTCATCATCACTGGCCATCAGAGAAATGCAAATCAAAACCACAATGAGATACCATCTCACACCAGTTAGAATGGCAATCATTAAAAAGTCAGGAAACAACAGGTGCTGGAGAGGATGTGGAGAAATAGGAACACTTTTACACTGTTGGTGGGACTGTAAACTAGTTCAACCATTGTGGAAGTCAGTGTGGCGATTCCTCAGGGATCTAGAACTAGAAATACCATTTGACCCAGCCATCCCATTACTGGGTGTATACCCAAAGGACTATAAATCATGCTGCTATAAAGACACATGCACACGTATGTTTATTGCGGCATTATTCACAATAGCAAAGACTTGGAACCAACCCAAATGTCCAACAATGATAGACTGGATTAAGAAAATGTGGCACATATACACCATGGAATACTATGCAGCCGTAAAAAATGATGAGCTCATGTCCTTTGTAGGGACATGGATGAAATTGGAAATCATCATTCTCAGTAAACTATCGCAAGAACAAAAAACCAAACACGGCATATTCTCACTCATAGGTGGGAATTGAACAATGAGATCACATGGACACAGGAAGGGGAATATCACACTCTGGGGACTGTTGTGGGGTGGGGGGAGGGGGGAGGGATAGCTTTGGGAGATATACCTAATGCTAGATGACGAGTTAGTGGGTGCAGCGCACCAGCATGGCACATGTATATGTATGTAACTAACCTGCACAATGTGCACATGTACCCTAAAACTTAAAGTATAATAAAAAAAATAAAAATAAATTAAAAAATAAAAAAAATAAATTAAAACCCAGTTCAATTCAAAAAAAAATAAAAATAAAAAAATTAAAAAATTAAAAAAAAGAAAAACTCATTATAGGCAAGTTGTTCAGAAACAAAGAAAAGAGAGAAAGCTGCCCTAGTTATTTTATGAAGCTAGAAAAATCTCAATCCCAAATTGGAGAAGAACAGGACAAGACAAGAACATCATCAAGCCATGTCACTTATGAATATAAATGCAAAGATTCTTAAACTAATATTTGTGAATCAAACCCAACAGAATATTTTAAAACATAATGCATCTCATGATTCCACTAACATAAGAGTTAGAAGCAGACAAAGCTAACCAATGGTGTTAGAAGTCAAGGCGGTGGTTGCCCTTGGAGGGCAAGACCTGGGAAGGGGCTGAGAAGTTTCCAGACAGATGGTCATGTTGCTTCTTGATGGAGACGCTGCTTCCACTGTTGCATTCATTTACCATTTCATCTCCCTTTTGTGTGCAAGTTACACCTTGATGAACAATTCCCTTTTTGAAAAAGTAGTTTACCTAATAGGATTTATGCAAGAAATTAAAAGAAAGTTTAATATTAGAATATTTATCAGTGAAATCCACCAATTAATAACCTAAGGGAAAAGTCACAGGATTATATCAATAGACACAGAAATGACTTTATTCATGTCCAATTCCTATCTATGCATGATAAGAACACCAAGAAAAGTAATAGAAGGAAACTTCCTCAACCTGATAAAGGGTGTATACCCAAACCCAAAAGCCTTTATATATAGACATGTTAAATACATTCTCTTTAAAATTAGAAATCAATTAAGAATGCCTGACCAGGCACTTCTGTTCAGCACAGTGTGTCCTGGAAACAGTAGTAGGGAAATTGACTCATTATAAGTGGCAAAATAAAGTTAAATCCCTACTTTTGATCATATACTAAGGGAACTTCATATCCAAGGTATGTATTAATCATTTACTAAGGTGAACCTAAATATAAAAGGTCAACCTAATAGAAAAAAACAATGTAAGAGAATATATTTGTAACTAAGGGCGGAGGAAGACCTCTTAAGACATAAAAGCACAAATCACAAAGTAGAAAAAAGATGGATTTGATTATATAAAAATGAAGCATTTTGTTGGATAAAGGCACACAAAGATAGAGTCAAGTGATAGACTGCAGAAGATATTTGCATTATCTAACATCCACGAATATACAAGAAATGTCTGCAGATTAACAACAAAATAATCAACCCAACAGCAAAAGGATAAGCGATATGATTAGGCAACTCATAGCAAGGGAAACCCAAATAGTTCTTAAGTACATGGAGAGATGCTTAACTTCATTCGTAATCAGAAAATGCACATTAAAACAATTACCCCACCACAGTGGTAAAAATTAGGAAGCCAGAAAAAACTCTGCATTGGCAAAGACACAGGAAATCAGGATGGTGCATGCATTGGGTGGGAGAGAAACGGGTGCAGCCTTTCTGAAGAGCAATCAGGCAGCGTTTAGTGGAAATTAAGTGATGCAGCAAACCCATTCCTGGCTGCAGGCTCTTAAGAAATGTGAGCCGAGCTCCACAGGAGAATAAGTACAAAGATGTTCAACCAAGCATTGTTTAAGGAACCCAAGAGCTGGAGGCATCCTTCGTACTCATTGCCAGGGGACTGTTTAAGAAAACAGTGATAGGCTGGGCTCAGTGGCTCACGTCTGTAATCCCAACACTTCGGGAGGCCAAGGTGGGAGGACTGCTTGAGGCCAGAAGTTCAAGACCAGCCTGAGCAACAGAGCAAGACCTCACTCTACAAAAAATTTAAAACTTAAAAAGAAAACAATGTTAGATGCTGTGTGAGAAATGCTATGCCACTACTAGAAGCAATAAATTGGATACACATATAGCTACCTAGACATGTTTTAAAACACGATCATTGAAAAATGTATTGCACTTGACACAAAACAACACTAAATATTTCATAAGGACTGATAACTATCCAAAGACAACTATCAAACAAACTCCTAAGTAAGTACCTACTTAGGAGTGGGAATTAGGAGGGAAAAGGGGAAATAATTACTACAAAGTAAGAAAAGAGCATTGCATGGATGATAATAGCGGGCCGTGAAATGAAGAGTAATAAGTAACTTAATTTTTGCCTCTGGTGTCCAATAAATAAATAATTAACTCAATATTGGCCCCTGGTTTCTAGTAAATACATACAGTCATTAATAAGTTAATTCTGTATGATAGCAATCAAAACCCAACAGAATTTTTCTGAGGAACTTGACAAGCTGATTCCTTCAGGTCATGTGGAAGGCACAGGAACAGCCCAGAATTAAAAATAATAACAGCAACAGGACATAGAAAGTTCAGGAACCACTTGGTGACTATACGGGAATCTTGGACACAATAAAATTGGCATTCTACTTCACAGCATATGAGGTGATAAATTTCAGATAGATCAATATTCTGAACATAAAGATTCCATAAAAGCACAGGCTTAAAATGTGGCACAAGCTCCGTAGAACTTGGAGCAGAAACGGCCTTTCTAAGCAATACCAAAGACTGAGACGCCATAAAGGAAATCCTTTTGACGATATAAAATGGAAAGTTCTATAAGGGAAAAGACACCATAAACAAATTCAACACGAAAGACAGGCTGGGAGAAAATACAACATTTATTACGGGAAAAACATTAATACTCTAAAGAGATGTTTTTAGAAGTCCCTAATAAGCAAAAGACAGGCAACCCAGCAGAAACAATGGCAAAGGACATAAACAGGAAATTTACTTGCAGAGAAAAATAAACAGCCCATAAACATATGAAAAGAAGCTCAATCTCACTAATTATGCAACTGCAAATTAAAATAAAAAATCTAATTCCAGATTTTGCCCATTCGATTGGCAAAAACTATAAGAACTGATTATATCCTGTGTTGGAAAGATGGCGAGAAAATGGGCACTCCTCTCTTGGTGAGAGTATTTATTTATTTATTTATTTATTTATTGAGACAGGATCTGGCTCTGTCACCCAGGCTGGAGTGCAGTGGCACAATCATAGCTCACTTCAGTCTCGACCTCCTGGGCTCAAGCCATCCTCCTGCCTCAGCCTCCCAAGTAGCTGGGATGACAGGCATGAGCCACCATGCTTGGCTAATGAGGCACCGCCCCTGGGAATATTTTGTGTGAAATTTTTTTACATTTTCTTCTTACAATTTTTTACACTTGCAACTAATTTTGAAACATTATATGAGATATATATACACGTATGTATTTCTATTTGCAAAGATAATGTGTACTCATTTTAGAAAACTCCAGTAACCCAGAAAGACATTCTGCAAGCAAACGCCATGCCACCCAGAACAACCCCCAGCATTTTTCTGAGCCTGACCACAGACTCCCTCTCTACAGATACACACACAAATGGATCTGTAGGGTTGCGTGTACGTCTGCATGTGTGAAGGTGCACTCACATGCATATGTGTGAATGGTAAACACAGTCTCACTGTGGGGTTCTCTGGACCTCTGGACCGCTTACTCAGCCTTGGATATTTCCCTTATTTGACCTGGACTCAACACCAAATTAAACCCTAGCTCTCCAACAACTCCAAGAAGTGGTGACTTCCGAGCTCATGGGTGGGGAGCCTAGGCCCAAAATTGGCTAAGAAGACAAGCTACTGAGGGGCCCAGAACAGGAGCGAAAGTGCCACACAAACAGGAGGCCAGGGGTGTGTGCCAGAGCTGGCAGTGAGAGGTGGGCCAGCTGAGATGCCTATCAGAGGTAGTGCAGCTATCAGAGGGAGTGGGCAGGCCACTTCAGGATGGAAGCTGCCCCTGAGATGGCTAGTTGACTGGAAGGACCTTTTTCACTGTGTCCCACCTCTTCATGGCTGCACTTCACAACTGTTGGAGTTGAACCTGGAAAGTGACGCTCAAGGAAATGATTTTAAGTACCTTGCTTAAGCAAGGAGGAGGAGGAGGGGGAGAAGACCAGGAGAAAGAGAAGAGAAAAAGATAAAGAAGGAAGAGAAGGAAGAAAACCCTAATAATTTCCTGGTTTAAATAACGTTAAAAGTTCAAGGGCAGTCTTCCTTCAGGCACGGCTGAATCTCAGAGCTCACATGATACACCCTACGCATTTGCTTTCTTTTCCCCACCCATGCCTCCATGTCTTGGCTTTGTCTTCCTCTCCACAAGCTGTTGTCCATAGTACCAGACCCTGCTCTAACAACTAGGAAGACAGCAATTCTTTCCCATGGACTCTAACCAAAGTCCCGGGACTAGATCTCAGGGGCCAGGCTTGAGTCTCACGTTCATCCCTAATCACCAGGCCACGGGGTGAAGTGCTCTGAGAACCCCAGGCTGGTCCAGGTGGTGGACCCCTCCAGAGCTGGGGTGGCCTGGGAGCAGGGGCAGCTTAGCTCTATGGGAATCGCACTGAGTAGGGGAGGGGTGGCTCCCTAAAGGAAAAGCAAAGCATCGTTTCCAGAGCAGAGCTACAGGGGCCAAAACTGCAGGTGTCACCACCCATGATCCCTTCAGTCAGGGAGATCCTGACCCCACACTTAGCAGCTACATAACTCTAAACAAACTTCTTAATCTACTGATCCAGTGTTTACTGCTCAAGTGAGGATTTAAGATTCCATTTTGTATTATCAAGTGAAAACAAGGTATGGAAGGCCCACGCACAGTGCCTGGCACATAGTAGGTCCTCAGTTCATGTGAATCTCTCATGAGCCAAGCCACCTCCTTCCCCACCCCACCCCCACATTTCCCCTACACTCAGAGGCTGAAGGGGGCTGGGGGATGCAGCTCTTCCTAGCGGCCTTGTCTCCAGGGAATATAAACTCTATGATCAAGGGACATGTTCAGAAAATGGAAATATTTGGCCAAGCCTTCAGAGATTTAATTAAAATTAATATTATGCCTTATCAAAGCAGAAAGCTCAACGCTGTGCATGTAGAACAATCTATTTAACCAATTAGCCGAGGCAAACATGACTGTCCAGCCTTCAGCAAGGCCGTCCACACCTACTCTTGGGCCACAGTTGCTGCTAATGCCATGTGCTCAGACAAGTGGGCCAGCTTAAGGCTGAGTGATGATGCAGCAGGAGGAGGCTTCCAGAGAGACTCAGGGGTGAGCATGGGGGATGTGAGCTTGCCGGGGCCCAGCCCGCCCATCCAGTGCCCATCCTGACCCACCTTAGTATTAATGCTAGGTGAGCATTCACATGATGATCATGGACCAGCTGTGTGATCTTGGGCAGGTGACTGAACCTTTCTGGGCACCCAGCTATGGTGAAGATCAGCAATAACAGGCATACAATGGACACACCAAACTGGCTTGCCACAGGCTGAATTTGGCCCAGGATTTTAACATTTTTCACATATGCATTTTCCACTCAAGTTTGCTCACAATGTCTTCAAGGTTTTTCTAATCAGATTTCCTACCAATCAAAATGGCAAAAATCCCAAATTTATTAATACACTGTGGTGGCCAAGGAGTGGGGAAACAGGCACGCTTATATCTTGTTGGTGGGAGTGTAAATTGATACAACCCTAATGAAGGGAAATTTGGCAGTATCTATAAAAGTTACAAATTGTGATATTTAATCATTTTGAGGAATTTATCCCATAGATTTACTTGTACATGAACAAAACTAGATATGCAGTGATGTTCATCATTACTCTTTTTGTGATAGCACAAGACTGGAAACAACTCATGTCTTCATCAACAGGGGATGGACTTAGGGGTGTCAGATGATATACAGGATGCCCATTTAAATTTGAACTTCAGATAAACAATGAATGCTTGTTTAGGAAAATAGGTGCATTCATGCCTTATTCCTGTATTCTTATTGCTAAATATGAGAACTCTAGGTGGATTAAATCAGGATTTCTCAGCCTCTGTACTATTGGACATTTTGGACAGAAAAATCTGTTTTGTGGGGATCATTCTGTGCATTGTAGGAGGTTTAGCAGCAACCTTGGTCTCTACCTACTAAATGACAGTATACACAGACACACACACACACACCGCACTGGTGACTGTCAAATGTGCCTCCTGACATTGTCAGGGCAAAATCTCCCCTGAGTGAGAACCACTGGGTTAAGTCAACTGGTACCTCCACACAGTAGAATACTATGCAGCTGTTAGGGTGGAAAGAGGAAGCTCTCTGAGTACTGATAAGAAAAGGGCTCCAGGACCTGTTATCAAGTAAAATAAGAAAGGTACAGAATAGCACATATATACCAGCTGCTACGGTTTCAATATCCCCTCTAAAACTTGTGTTGAAATTTAATCCCCAATGCGGCAGTACTGAGAGGTGGAGCCTTTAAGAGGTGATTGGATCATGCAGTCTCTGCCTTCATGAATGGATTAATCCATTTGTGGATTAATGGATTAATGGGCTAAGGGATTAATGTGTTCTCGTGAGAGTGGGACTAGTAGAGGAAGTGCGGCCTGAGATCGCATGCTCAACCCCCTTGCCACGTGAGGCCCTGCAGGACTCTGCAGAGTGTCCGCTGCAGCAAGAAGGCCCTTACCAGATGCGGCCCCTCCACCTCGGATTTTTCAGCCTCCAGAACTATGGAAACAAATTCATCTTTTTAAATTGCCCAGCTTCAGGTATTCTATTTATAAGCAGCAGAAAATCGACAAGGACACCACCTCTTTCATATAAAAGAATGGAGGAGCAGTCACTGGGCACAGGAGACAGGGAGGGATGAGGGCTCTTGCCTGTCTATACACATAATCTAGTCAACAAATTAAGAGAAAGCGGATTTGGTTGCTAACACTTAAAAAAATGAGAGATTATACATTAAAAGCTCAGACCTGCAAGTTTTTCTGAGAAGTCCAAGTCTGAACCACCGGGACCGTGTTCTTGGAATCAGTTGACTGAAGCTAAAAATGGGATACATTGCACACCTCACCTGCCATGGTTTATGTACCAGCAGGGGCCCTGGGGATGGGAATTCAAGACCCTGCTCACAGTATGCCCTCCGTGAATGGGAGCTTCTGCAGCCAAGTGAATCAGGGAGTGGTCTTTGCACCCAGGTCATAAAAACACAGGACATGAATCCTGACCACTGCCCTGGTACCGAGGAGGCCAGGCCCCCTGCCCCAAGCACCACTCAGCACCAGGATACCTCATCTCAGAAGTTAAAGTAGCTTAAGGTGGGAAGGACTCAGATCAAAGCCTCGTTCCTTGTCCTCACCTGGCTCTGCAGTGTCACCTTGGGGGAGCAGCTGCCCCTCTAGGCCCTGGGCCTCAGGTGTCCCATTGCAAGTAGCTTCATCACTCTCACGGAGTCTAAGTCATGGAATGAGCTCATCCCTCCCTGGGGGCTTCCTGGCTCCATCTCCTCGCACCTGGGCTGGAGTACACAGTGTGGGAGAGGGGACCGGGCAAATGGGGCCACACTATCTCTTAACCCCCAAGTGCTATTGTTGGGGGGAAAGGGAGGAGCTGGGGAAACATTGTCCAAAAGATGTGCTACCCTTTAAAATGTCCCAAAGATAGACATTCATTAGTTGTTGTTTATAACAGCAATTTTAAAAAGAAAGAAAAAGAAGAGAGAGAGAGAAAACAGAGAAGAGCAAAAAATAAATTCTGGAGTTCCCTTAGAAAATGAATTATCAAACAACTGTAAACATCATGCTTTCACAGCCTTTTAAGACAGGAAAACGCTCATGGCAAGCTAATTGGAAGGTCAGTGTGATGCCAATTTTGTAAAATACACCTATTTTAAGGCCAGTCACACATTTGCCGGGTTAGAATTTCTGTTTGTTACGTGTTAGCTCTGTGGCCTTGGGAAGGTTCCCTGAACCTTCTATGTCCCAGTTCCTTTATCTGTGAAATGGGGATAATAAAACAGTAACTCCTTCGAGAAGTTGCTGGTAGGAGAAAGGAGATAAGCATGCGTGACCGTAGCCGGCACTGTGCAAATGCCAGTTACAGTGCTGCCAGGAGGAAAGGCCCGGAGGGAGCGCACACAAGTCACTGGGATTGGGGTGATTTGGGTTACCTTGTTCCCTTTCCAACTTTTCATCTTTCTGCCCTGAATATGGATTTATTATCTTAAGAACCAGGAGAAGGCAAAGTTTTGGGTTGATCTCTCCCAAAGCCAGCCCTAGACAAGGGCCCCAGTGGAGGGTGTCACTGGGGATGGACCAGGCACACCAGCAGGGAGAGGGTGTGAGTCTGGGAAGGCGAGGGCCAGCACAGAGATCACTGCCAGTCACCCCAGTGGACAGCTGGTGCCTGACGCAGCACAGAGCTGAGTTATCCCCAGGGGCCAGGGAGCTGAGCATCAACACCTAGCCCCTTGATCAGGGCCTGCTCAGGGACACGGATTCCCCACTTCAGGCAAGCCACAGGCCCGAGTGCACAGCCACAGCTAGACTCAGGCTGGGGAGTCAGACAGAGGCAGGTGTACTGGGGGGCGCCACAGCATCTAGCACACACCAAAATAAGGAACCCCAAGGAGGGAGTGACCAACCACAGGACGCAGGGATGTTCAGAGACCAAGCTCATTCGCTGCTTGTGTTGTTGCAGGAGTTGCTTTGGAAAACCCTGAACCCCAGGAGAAACTCCCACCATACCCCCTTAGCCAACACCAAGACCCTGACAGGACCCAGACTCGAGGCTGGACCTGGTCGAGGGCTGTCTCCTGAGGTGGTTCATGTGAGTGGCCCGGAGGGAGAACACCTGCCAGTGCCCACAGGTTTGAGGCCTGCGGCCCGATCGCCCTCTGACCCTCTCTGCCACCCTCTCCACCCCCAGGCTTTGTTGTCCTATTGTCTTCAATCACAGCTGAAGATGGACGCACTGACGGCCATCTCACCTCCATGTCCCCCTCTCCACTCTCCCAGTTAGCAGCCTTGCATAGGCACTTTTTTTTTTATTTTATTTTGAGATGGAGTCTCGCTCTGTCGCCCAGTCTGGAGTGCAGTGGCGCAATCTCAGGTCACTGCAACCTCCGCCTCCCAGGTTCAAGCGATTCTCCTGCCTCAGCCTCCCAACTAGCTGAGATTACAGACCCATGCTGCCACCACACCCAGCTAATTTTTGTATTTTTAGTAGAGACAGTGTTTCGCCATGTTGGCCAGGCTGGTCTTGAACTCCTGACCTCAGGTGATCCACCCCCATCAGCCTCCCAAAGTGCTAGGATTACAGGCATGAGCCACCATGCCTGGCCACTTAGGCATCTTTTGATGGTGGGTTCATTAGAATTGCAGGAGTCTGGAAATCTAGCTTCTGGGACTCCAGCAAATGTTCTGTGTAAAAATTATGAATCCAAGACTTAGGCATTTTTAGAAAAATGGGATAACCTTACCAAAAATAACTTAGAATTAGAGTGGCCACCCTGGAATCTACCACACACCTACCATACCAGGGCCCACTGCTCCCCACTCCAGACCCTTCTGCTGCAGGCTCTGGCCTAGCCTGCAGGCCTCCTCCCTACCCCAGCCCTTCCACCTGACGACCCAGTGACCAAGTGGACGACCCATGCCAAGTCCAGCACCCTGGGCTCTCAGGATCTCAATCCTCCACTCCATCCCAGCCTCCCAGGCCCTCAGCCACACCTTTAGGGTCAGCACCAGAAACCTACTGGATCTCCAACCAAATACCAGTTCTCCCTGATTGCTTTCATCCAAGCTCCACCATACCTATTCCTCCCCTTTGCAGAAACTCTCCCCCAATGGGAAGCTGTGAATCGTAGGGGTGGGCTCTGGAGCTGGACTGCCTGGGTTCAAATCCCACCTGCGCCAATGACTGGCTGTGTGACCTTTCTGTGCCTCGATTTCTTTATGTACAAAAGGCCTGAGGATGGCTCATCTTCATTCATTCAATAGTTGCTGAGTACCTGCCGTGTATCAGCCCCAGGACTGGGAACTGGGCATGAACCACGTAAAAGGAGACAAAACCCTTGTCCTCACGGAGGGAGAAACAACAGAACATGATAATTAAAATACACAACATAGCAAAGAGTGGTGGTTAAGCACTTGCAGCAAGACCAGGCTGGCCCTGACTGACCCAGCCAGAGCAGACACAACGAGCCACTTTTAGATTCTGACAGTGTGTGACCTGCATGGACAATGAAAGGAAGAGTCAGGGACAGTGTCATGTCCAGGGTCCCTGTCCTGCACACCTAAAATGATGCCACCAAAGCCAAGGGCCTGGACGACCACAGTCCGAGTTGGGTCTGAGTTGTGGGACACCCCATCACCGAGGAACCTGACACAGCTTGACTGCAGTTAAGTGGCTTTGAATTCCACAGCTCTATTCTGCTGGGGACCCAGGAGGCACTGCGGAGCTGCCTCAGCACTGCCTCCCAGGGGAGAGGCCTCCATCCTCCGGTGTTCCAGGAGGACTGCAGGGTGTCGTGCCAAGCTGGGTTAGGCTGTGGTTCAAGGGTGGGAACCTTTGCTGCGTGGCCCTGTGGCTGCATGCAGGGCGCCAAGGCGGAGCCGTTCCCTTATGCAGGGATGGAGGTGGTGTTATCTTTTTAAATTGGATGCCCAGAGAAGGCTTCACTGAGAAGGTAAGCTTGAGCAAATGCCTGAGTGAAGTGAAGAAGCAGGTTATGTGAGTATCTGGGAGAAGATGGTCCCAGGCAGAGGGAACAGCAGGATGCAAGGCCCTGAGGCAGGGTGGGGCTACATACCTGTGGAAAGGGAAGAAGTCACAGTGGCCAGGGTGGAGTCAGGAGTGGGAGGAGAGGCAAGAGCCAGTCATGCAGCGACAGGTGCCTAAACATGTCGAGCCCTGAGGGCCAATGTTGGGACTGAATTCTACTCCGAATAAGGTGAGAATCGGTATGGGGCTTAGGGAATAGACTGAGGGGCAAGGAGATGCCTCAGGAGCTTTCACAACAGTCCAGGCAAGACATAATGTCACTTGGTCCAGAGTGAAGGAGCAGAAGTGGTCTGATTCTGCTAATATTTTGAAGGTGGAGATGACAAGCTCTGGGTGGGGGATCATAAGAGACAAAGAGCCAAGAATAACACCAGGTTTTTGGCCTAAGCAGTCAGAAGGAAGAATGATGGGAAAGGCTGCAGAAGAAGCAGGATGGGGAGAGGTCAGGGGCTTGGTTTGGGACCTGTTGAGTTTGAGGCTCCCAACTGACCTTCAAGTGCTTGTCACATCGGCAGGAGGCAGGGTCATGGACTAGAGTGGACACAGGCCCAGGGTACAGCAAGGGCCAGGTGTGCAGCAGTCACCCGCAAAGGTGAGTTCCTTCTCCTGTTGACAGGTCTACTTTCTTACCTGTTAGAGGAAAGTGTCTCTTTCTCTCTTTCCCTCTTACATTCCAGGATCCATGATTCAACCACCCCCCTCGCTCTTGCCCTATCATCCTGCCATTGTACCTCCCATCTGGCAAGAACTCCAGCCTCAATGGATTCATCTGCCTGCCTGCTCTGTGCCTGTGCCAGACTGTGGGACACTGTTGGAAAGCATCAGACCACGCGGGGGACTGGTGCCACCATGCATGCCCTGGGAATTGTAGGCACTCCCTCACCACCCACACCCACCAAGTTCAGGCACTCTGACTCCTTCTTGTATCTCTTATCCATAGCTCTCCTCCATCCCCACTGGCTAAATAATAGCCACCAAAGTTGTCCATGCCCACACTGGAGTGGTGGTGCATGTCTGTAATATCAGCTACTTGGAAGGCTGAGGCAGGAGGATCGCTTGAGGCCAGGAGCTAGAGACCAGCCTGGGCAACACAGTGAGGCCCCATCTCTAAAAATGGTTTTAAAAATATTCACCAGGCATGGTATTGCATGCCTGTAGTCCCAGCTACTAGGGAGGATGAGGCAAGAGGATCCCTTGAGCTTGGGAATTTGAGGATACAGGGAGCTATGATTGCACCACTGCACTCCAGCCTGGATGACAGAGTGAGACCCCATCTCTAAAAAACAAACAGCTGAAAGATGTCTGTGTCCTAATCCCTGGAACCTGAGAATATACCAACTTACGTGCGAACAAGATTTTGCAGATGTGATTAAGTCAGGGATTTTGAAATGAAGAGCTTATCCTGGGTTATCCAGGTGGCCTCAATGCAACCACAAGGGTCCTTATAAGAGGGAGGCAGGAAGATCAGAATCAGGGAGAAGAGATGTGATGACGGAAGCAGAGGCTGGAGTAATGAGATTTGAAGACGGAAAAGAGGCCACAAGCCAAGAAATGCAAGTGGCCTCTAGAAGCTGGAAAAGCTATGAAAACAGATTCTCCCCTAGAGTTACCACAAAGGAAGGCGACTTGGCCAACACCTTGATTCTAGTCCAGTGAGGCCCATTTCAGACTTCCGACCTGCAGAGCTATAAGGCAATAAGCTGGTGTTGTTTTAAGCGTGGAGTTTGTGGCAATTTGCTATAGCAGCCTAGGAAACTAACACATTCTGCATTAGGTCAGACGCATCTTCTCCCACCTGGCCTACCACACCAGCCTCTTGCCAGAGCTCTATTGCAAGTCATTTTGGTCCGCTGCTGTCAGAGGATCCTGCGAAAGCCCGATCCTATCAACCGTTTTCTTATAATCAAGCCTCCCCACCACCTTTCAGCTCTTCAGTATGCCATCTAAGATTTCATGACCTGGCTCTCCTGCCTTCCCCTCAGCCCATTGCTCGTCACTCCCCTAGCGTTAAGGAGGGCTCTTGCTATGGTAAAAAGCATAATCTCATCTCACACAGGCATAAATAAAAGGGAAGTGATCTATTGGCTACTGTGCCAGAAAGGCCTTGGGACTTCTGGCACAGCTGGATCCAGGAACAGTGCCAGGAATTCATCTTTTGCCACTTCTGAGCTACACCTCCCTCTACTGTTGGCCTCATTCTCAGGCAGGCTCTCTCCTCAAGGTGAAAATACAGCCCCCACTGCCCTGCGGCTTGAAGCTTTCATTCTACCAGCTAAGCCACCCCCATAGCTCCAGCAAAAGTCTCAGGCATAGCATGCATTAATTGTGATTGGCTCTGCTTGAGTCATGTGTCCATGCAGCCAGAGAGATGCAAGTCTCTCATTGGCTAGGGCTCAGTCATATGCCCATACGTGGACCCAGGGGGCGGAGCCAGACCTTCCCCAATCACATAGACTGTGGATGAGAGAGAGTGGGTTCCTAAAAGAAAATTAAGAAGAGAAATAGGTACTGAGGAGGCAGGAATGACAATGCCCCTTCCACACACCCGGAGTCTCAGCCCCATCCCACGCTAGTCTTTGCCCAAATGTACCACGCTCCCTCCTTACTCTCTGCCAATCTCTCTGCCTCAAATGTTCCTCTTCCTCTCCTTGCCTTCCCTGTACCTTCTCCAGGAAGCCTCTCTGACCCCCAGACCTTGCCTGCTGTCTCCTTTGAGCTGTCACAGTCCAGTGCTTCTCCCTGGCTCTCCAGGACACACTGACACCATGTGAATGGCTGACTCCCACTGGTCCGCCTCCTACCCCAGTGGCAAACATGGTGGTTACTGTTATGGAGTACTGACCATGTGCCAGGCACCACCCCAGTGCTTTGTGGGCTTTATCTCACCTAATCCATACAACACGCCTGAGAGATGGATACTATGCCTAATCTCTAGTTCAGAGGGAAAAAACTGAGGCACACCCAAGATATGGAAAGGCACCCAGGCTGCCTGGCTGCAGACCTGTGCTCTCAGCCTTGATGCTACAGCCCTTTCTGTAGACCTCAGCAAAGCAGGAAGGGAGTTTGTTCACCTCTGAGTCCCCAGTGTGATTCCATTACAGCATAATTAAGACCACAGTTTCCGGAGTCAAGCCAATCTAGGGTCCATCCTGGAGGCTGTGACTCTTTGAGACATTAAAGTAAGGTGTATAATATTCCCTTGGCTCAATTTCCTCATCTGCGGAACAGGATAACAATAGTACCTACCTCTTAAGTTTGAAGCAAAGATGAAAGAAAAGAATGCTTTAGCATTCAGCACAAAGCCTGGCACGTAGTCAGAGCTCACAAAGTGTTAGCTGTGATGAGGCTGAGGGATGATGCTACCAGCAATTTGCTCCTTGATATATTGGGGAAATGGAGGGCTCTTCTCCCTTCCCTCATGTAACACACAGCCAGAAAAATTGATGGTCAAGGGGACTCAAGCCCTCTCTAGTTCTGTTTAAAACCCTTGCCACATTCTCAGGGAGCTGAGTTTTTGATACCTGGCTCTTCTCAAAAGACTGTGCCCCCAAGAGCAGGAGAAACTGGTCCAGCACGGTGGTTGCCATGGAAACCATTGAATGTAAATTTCATGTTCTGCCTTGCCCAGCTAAGCTATCGATTCAGCAAGAGGGAGAGAAATTGGGAGCTGTTTCCTTCCCAAAGTAAAAGAGAAAGTGCAGACCCAAAGTGAAAACAGAAGGAAGTGTGGCCAGGGGATCGAAACCTAGTTGGAAAAAAGATGGAACAGGGGTAGGCTGAGGGAGCAGGGAGGGAGGGAAGGACTAGAGAATCACTTTCCACTCCCATTAACCTGCTGGCACAGGTAAGTAGCCAGCTCCTAACACAGGCTCTAGAGTGATCTCGGCCCTGGCCTCAGCACTGGCACCTACCAGCTGCGTGATCTGGGGCAAATGGCTGACCCTCTATGAGCCTGTTTCATTATGTATAGAAACATGGATAAAAATTGCAACCTGGCAAGCTTGTCCTGGGGACATCATCACCCACGCATCCCAAGGCCTCTCTGGCATGCTGTCTTCTTCCTTTTTAGCCTGAAATTCCCACCATTGTTGTCATACTGAAGTTGTCATCGACGACTTCAGTACTCAAGGGAAAGAATGTGGTCCCAAGGAGCTGCAGTGGAAAACTCGAGGTCACCCATGAAAGAGGATAAGAGGAAGATGGAGCAGATGGGACATGGGACAGGTCTGTTTTGATGGAGTCAGCTGGAGTGGAAGTGGACCATACAAGGGTTGGGATGGAGGAATGGACTCGCCAACCAAAACCAAGTCCAAGTCTGGGTCCATCTCTGGGGTGCCCCAGCAGCTGGGTGCTCCACGCGGTGGGTGCAAATGCTGTGTGCTACCAGTTGTCACAGGATGACCATGCAGGGCTGCTGAGCTGGAGTGAGCCAGGCTGCCCATTCCCTCTTCCTGGGACTGCTGACACTGGCTCCCCTGGGGTGACCCAGGCCTGCCCAGGCACCATGACATGCCGAGGGTGCCCTGTCACCGCAGTCCTGGCAGCTGCACCCACAGAAACACTAATTGGGAAGTGAGACAAGCGAAGTGCCTTTAATGAGCTACCTTGTTGTAACTCTAACTCGTTGGCGTTATTTACAGAGATTCTGCTAATGAGGTGCCTGTCAGAGGGGGAGCCCACTGTGGGAGTTGGGGGAGGATGGGCCAGTCAGCCTTGAGGGAAGAGGCAAGATTCAAAGGGAAGAGGGAAAGAAACTCACCCTTGCTGAGCACCTGCTGGGCCAGAGGCCCTTCATCCCCATGATCTCAGCACACCGGCCCAGAGGCCCAGGAGGTACGGATGAGGTGTAGGGTGCAAGAACCTAACCAAGGTCACATGGGGAGTCTGGTAGTCTAGCCCAGGCTAGTCAGACAGCACAGTCCCTCAGGCACCTGCCTCAGGCAGGCCACAGGAGCCACCAGGGCCACCAAAGGTGGTAGGGACAGCATGTGTGTGTGTGTGTGTGTGTGTGTGAGTGTGTGTGTGTGTGTGTGTGTGTGAGTGTGTGTGTGTGTGTAGGAAAGACCACCAACTGGGAAGGAGTCCACTTCACCTGGCCTGGACATATGGAATCTACTCAAGGGTGGCCCCATCAGCTCTTCCACGCCAGAGTTCACAACCTCTCTTTCTGGGTTGACTCCTGGCAGGCCAGGGTTCTCCCAGCCATTCCTCACCCACTCCTCCCTCACTGTCCAGGGACCCTGAGCTTTGAGCCCTGACCCTAGCCAAAAAAAAAAAAAAAAAAAAAAAAAAAAAAAAAAGGAGGCTTCTCTGGGTCATCTACACTTTTAGAGACCATCTATCTTAGATCCAGTGGAATGGATTTGGCTGCTGCTTAACTGGTCTAGCCTGGGTTGGGTGCACCTCTCAGCCTGGGGTGGTGGGCAGGGCTCAGTGGTGGGAGGCGGGGGGGCTCAGTCTGAGTTAAGGGTGGGGCAGGGGTGGGGCTCAGCCCGGGACAGGGCTCAACTTGGGATTAGAGGGGAGAATCAGTTTGTAGCATTATTGGTTTGTGGCCAAAATAAGGGAACTGACCATTGGTCTTACTTTTTTCACCCGCGAAATGGGATTAATTAACTTGCATTTCTAGAATGTTATGGGATCCTAAGAAACAGAGATTGTGAAAGTGCCTTGCAAACCATATGGCGCCCCTTCTGGGTCTTGCTGTGGTCACTATGAGCAGAGTGGCAGTCTGGGTGCTGATGCTGAAACCAAGCTTGCCACCCTAGTGGAGACACTTCCCTGGCTTATCCCGTCCAGCTCGGCTCTGAGCTCCCCTCTCCCCTTCTCCATTCTCATTGTCACATCCTCTCTCCTCTCCTACTACCTGTCAAGATTGGCATCTCTTTAATTATAATGTCTGTGTGTTTCTTTAGGAGCCATGTAATTCCCCCTGACGGCCACCTATTTAAAATGAAAGTCAAACACTCAGAACTTTGTTTAAGAGTTGAGTCTTGGGGAAAAAAAATGCATTAATTGCCAAATGTTGCTAATTTCACTCTGATTTGGTGCAAAAAGAATACACACACACACACACACACACACACACACACGAGTACTGATGAAACTGACATGAGTCCAAGGATAGCATCTGGATGTCAAAGCCCTAAGCTCATCCAAACCCCTCTGTCATTTCTCAGATGAAGAAACCAGGACCCAGAGAGGTTAAATGACTTGCTGAAGGTAGCCCAGGCATAGGCAATGGAACCAAGGCTCAGCTGATGCCCGCAGGCTCCATGTGGCCTTCAGGCAGCAGCTGGTTGACCAGGGAACAAAAGACAAAAGCCCTGCATTCCTTGCACATATCAGCATGTCAGGCCATCTGGGCCGCTGCCCGCCCTGCAGGGCTGCTGTGTTTGCAAGTGTTGCCTGCCAGGGGGCCTTGCCTGGGACAAGGGGCCTGGGGAGACCCTCTTCTGAGGCTGGGGATCTGTCCCTTGGTAATCAGAACATATAGGCACAGTCCTCCCTGAGCAACCATCTGTGGAGGCTCAGCTGTGAGGCACAGGCACCAAAGGCCTTTGCCGACAATCAAAACTTGTCCCAGGACGGAGCTGGGAAGAGGGCCTGAAGCAGGCAAGGCAGCTTGCAGAAGGCTCCAGCCCTGGCTGGATGTGCCCTCACAGCCTCTCGGTGGGGAAAGGCAACTTGGTGGAGCGCCACAGGGAAATGTTTGGGCACTACCCTGCAATGATCGAAGCACCACTTCTGAACTCGGCCAGTTCTCAGATCAGATCTCCGCTAGACCTCTTCCTTACTGAGCACCTTGAGGAGCTGTGGAACCTCTCTGCATTACTGATTCTGCATCTGGCCCACATGATCAATACTATGGATTACTCAGAGTTGGTTGAAGGGGCGTCTAATGAGTGAATATGTGCTGTGTACCAGCCCAGGGCACACACACTCTACACACTGCTCCCACCTCTTCCCCAAAAAGGAAGCAGAGGGTTAGGCCAGGAAGAGCAAAACAGGGGCCCAAGAGCCTTGTTTGGCCACAGTCTTGTTTGTGGGCTTGCATGTGCTGCTATAAAAATGTAATTTAAAGGCCTCTTGGACAAGACCTGAGCTCCCAGAGCATCCTGGTACCCACCAGTCCCTGGAGGCTCACAGCTGGCCACTTCATTCATGCCTATCTGTTACTCTGCAACTCCTAGAGAAACCCTCTGCATAGCTCTGAAAGATGAAAGTCTGTGCTCACCCCTAGCCCTCTCCAAACCCAGCCAAAACCCCACGTGCCTTCTTTGCCCCAGCTCTGATAATATAGTGTTTAAAATCCAGTCCATGTCCAGCTTTCCACTGAACTAGGAGCACCTAGACGTGAGGCGCCACATGCTACCCCTACATGAGAAGAGGTAGGCTCTTGGTAAATATATTTACTCATTCGACAAAGAGGTGTTGCAGCTAGGCTCTGAAGACACAGCTGTGAACAGTTTTGACAAGAGCCAAGTCTTCCCAGAGCTTAAGGACAATTAACACTTCAATAAACAAGATGGCTTAAGATGGAGAAGATAAAACAGGGTGATGTGCTGGGCCAGAGTCGGTGAATGAATGAATGGGCAAATAGCAAGAATGCAATTTTCAGTCCAACAACACAATAGGAAAATGTTATTGCCTCTAACAGGTAGGAAGATGAACCAGTGAAGAAGATACTAGTATTAGTCCCATGGTCCCAGTGAGGAATCAAAAGTATGGGGTCATACCTAGGGTCTAATCAGCCCTCTGAGTAGAAGGGCAGGGGATATACCAACTCCTCAGATAAAGAAAAATTATCTCAAAGCAGCCACCTTTTAAAAGTGTCTACTGCCAAGCTTCTGCCAGACACTTTACCCACAGGATCCTCTAGACAACTGTCTGATCATCTTTATAGGTAAGGCCATCAAGGCTCAGAGACTTGCTCAAGATCACCCAGCTGGAAAGTGGCAAGTCTGGCTGGCTCCAAGCACTGTGTGCTTTCTGGAATAGTGGGTGCCCCCAGCCACAGAGCCATACCACCCAACTTCTCAGCCTTCCAAAGAGAGCTGCCCTGAGGACCCAATCAGCCCACAGCCTGCAGCTGCTGTGCCTGCAAAACCTGCCAAGTAGCCAGGCTGAGGCCACACTCTGCTAGCCAAAAGCCCAGTGTGGCAGCAGTACCAGGGCCTGGGCATTCCTGCTCAGCTTGGGGCTCCTCTGTGGACAGTCTATCAGGGAGTCCCACTGGGCCGGAGAGATTTTCTCAGAGCTGTGCTGCAGGCTAACACTCTTCTTACCCAATCTGCCTGCCTTATTCTCTCTTCTTAGAAGGCTCAAACCCACAGTATGGTCTCAGGCAATCCCCACCCACTCCTGCTCCTTCTCCTCTGGATTTCTTGCAGGTGATTCCTGCCATAAATCCCTTGCACTTCTTGCTCCGTCATCTTGGCATCTGCTTTTCAGTGTTCCTAACTGGCACGACACATCATCCAAACCACAAGGAAGACTTCTCAGTTATGGAATCATGCAGTACATGGCATATGAGGGTGGCTCCTCTGTGCTTCTAAGGTTCCAGTGGTGGAGAAACCTCTGACAGCTAAAGCCTGGAGCCCTCTGACCATTTGCACAGCAGCCTGGCTCAGGGGAGCAGGTCCAGGCTGAGAGTCAGACAGGGCTTGGTGTCCCTGCAGCAGCTCCTTCGGCTCTCTGGGCCTCAGTCTTCCTCATCTATAAAATAGGCGTGCTGACACTTTCCCCGTAGTACTGTCTTAAGAACTGGATAAAGCACCTGCTTTGAAGGTCAGATAACCAGGAGTGTGGGATTTTAGATCCATGTCACTAGAGTCTAGATGATCAGAGTTGGAAAATGTCATAGAGCCCTACATTTTCATTATTTGTGTAGGGAACTGGGAACATGGAAGGGAAGATCTTAGGCAAGCAGGGACGGCAGGCCACAGCAGAGGCAGGCCAGGTCCCGTGGCCCAGCCCGGAGCCTCAGAATGCCTTCCATTCCCATTCAGCACCAGCTTTGCCCGCAACCACAGGGAGCCCAGGCCAGGATCCCAACCTCCCCCCTTTCCCCAGGCAACCCAGGGGGCATGGTGGGACCAGAGGGAGAACCCAGTAAGACCTGGCATTAACATGAAGACTATCTGTGGGCAGTCAGAGGCGCCCAGCCTGCAACAGAGGCCAAAGGGCAGGCGAAGGTGGAGGAGGCGGGGTGCTTTTTCTCCGCTGGTCCCATCACTGCTAATGTGGTCTCAGGGCCTCCTCTCTGGAAGAGCAAACTGACCTCCGGAGAAAACAGTTGGAACAGGAAAAACAGAGAGATGCCAGGGACCCAAGGGGCACTCAGAGACAGGGTCAGCCCTTATTGGAGTTAGAGAGGCAGACAGAAGACAGAGAGGCCCAGGGATGGAGAGGGGAAGTGCAAAACAGATGGCCGGGGAGGGATGCGGAGGAGAGGCGGAGGTGTGCGCTGGGGGAGAGGACTACCGACGGCGCTGGCGGTCGGGATGGGCTGGAGCGGGCTGCAGTCGGGGCTGCATCGCCGGGTCCCAGCATAGCGCAGGCTCGGCGCCGCACCCGCAGCCTTTGTCCTGAGCTGCAGAGGGTTCCCGCGGGCCGCCAGCGCCCCCTGCCGCCCCCAGAGCGCCGCGCCGCAGCCGAGCGGCCCCTAGCTGTGCAGAGGGGACCGAGCCCGAGAAGGGACCGAGCCCGAGAGGGGACCGCGAGGGCGGGAGGGAAGCTCCGCGAGCCGGCGCCAGCGCCACGGCCCAAACCCCAGCCTCTACAGGTGCTCACTGCGCGACTGCCTGTCCCAGGCGCTCGGGCTGGGCGCCCTCTCTAGGGCCTGGGAGCAGCGTGAGTCCCGGGGGCGGCCCGGCATGGGCCTCCCACCCCAGGAGACGCCCTTCTGGCCTGGCCCTCCCAGTCGCCTGGGCAGGACTCGGATGCCCGCGGGCTGCAAACCTCTCCCCCGTGAACCCAGCAGGGAGGCCGGGGAGGCACGCTGCTCCCCCTCTCAGCCTTGCCCAGTGTCCAGACCTTTCAAAAGAAGCCAGAAAATTCACGTTTGCTTGGGAATCCCACAATTCAATAGCTTTTCAAAACAGTGCGGGAAGAAAAGTGGGTTTGGCCCACCAGCAGCCGGCGGGCACCCTCCCAGCCTCTTCACGGACTCTCCTTCAGGTTTTGGGCGCCCGGCCCCACTAGAGTCATGTGGGCATTTCCTTCAGATCTTCCTCCACTTAAATACACTTATTGAAAAAGAAAACTCCTTTTCTCTTTCCCTATAGTAATTAGAAACTCAGCGTCCTGTGGTGTAAAAGCCAGGTAGCCTCGGAAGTGAAACAGGGCAATTAGAACAGACACAGGGCCTGTTCCGCCCCACCCTGCTGCATCTGGTGGACAAGCCCCCGGGGCTGCTGATGACCCATGCCCTCTGACCTCAGGGGAGGGGCGGGCCGACGACAGGCCTTTCTAGAAGGGCCCTACAAGCGGCTTCAGGGAGTCTGGGAACCAAAGCAGCCACCCTGTCCATGGCACTGTCCGCCCCTGGCACCACGGCCCCACCGGGAGTGGAAGCCGCCAGGTGAGGCAGGGGTGGTTCCCTTCCCCGGGGAACAATGTGCAGAAGGCATCGGTGCCTGCCAGAGAGGAAGTGGGGAGGTGGGGAGACAGAGCACAGAGAGTGACTCAGACCCGAGGGCGAACCAGAAGCTGCCCGGAGATTCCCACTGTATGGCTTCCTGCAGGATTCAGCTGTGGAGACTGAAGCCGGAGGGCCTGGGGGGAGCCGCAGGAAGCGGGTGGGCGGGGGCCGTCTGCCCCTGGACACTCAGGACAGCCTGGCTCACCACGGGGGAGGAGAAGCCAATGGAGACAGCGGGGACCAAGAGGGAGGGGGTGGATGGGGAGCCTGGGGAGGAGCGGAGGGACCCAGGTCCCCTGCCTTACAGGACGACCAGCACAGGTTCCAGGTCTCCAGCCAGCTACAGGGCTTCTTAACACACAGCACTCCCTGCTTCGAGCCTTCCGGGAGGCCCCCAATCCAGGATCAAGACCCAGCCCCGTCACGGCCTGGCTCACGAGGCCCCACTTCAACTGCCCCTGACCTCTCTGCGCCCCCTGCTCCCGCCAGCCCTGCCGGCCGCTGCCCTGGAGAAGGAGCTGCAGATGGATCCCCAGTGAGTAGGAGGCAGCCGTGTGAGTCAGGCAGCGGAGGGAACGGGCTGCATCGCGGAGAGGAGGTGCGAAGCAGCGCGCCGTTTCCGGGCTCTGGAAGCCGAGCTGCCGAGGCGTAAGCTGGGAGGTGGACATGACGGGGGAGTGGGGAAGGGCAGGCGGCGGGACGGCCACACAGCGGAATATTATGCAACTTATAAAAAATTTAATTACCTGCCTACCAATAGACTTAAAGGGATTTCTATAAGGTATTATTGGGTGAGAAAAGCAATTTGGAGATAAGAATGTAACATACGATCCCATTTTTATAAAACAATGGGCAAAAAAATCTGTGAGTTTGTGTGTATATATGTATATGTATATAGGCCTCTATAGGATTTTATTAACACAAAAGAAAATACAGGATACATGCTAGGTTGTTAACAGGGGTTTTCTTCACGGAAACCTATTGTGGGGGAAGGGGAACCAATAAAAAAAGGATCTGAGAAATAAAGACCGCCCTTAAAAGATGGATGACTGCAGCTAACCGTGTCCCCAACACCCACCCCTACCAAAGCTAGACATGGGGGAGTGGTCTCGACTATCCCCTTCTCCCCATCCCAGCATCTGCTCCTCTCAGGTGGCAGCCAGCCACTAGACACCCCCCAACACACACATGCACGTGCACACACACACACACACACAGACCCAGCCCAGTCTCCACATAGCCAACCATCTGAGGGTTCCAGTTGCCCTGAGAGTGAGATCCACTTCAACACAGACTCCAAGTTCCTTCCCCCAGCCCCACTCACCTCTGCAGGCTCAGTCCTCACTGCTCCCCCAAACCCCACCCTGCCAACTCCCTGCACTGCCAAATAGCCCAGGGTCCAGCCACTGTGCTCTGAACTCTGAGCCTCTGCACCTGTCAGAACAAGCTTGCATTGATATTGGCTATATTCCAGTCTCTGTTCTGAGCACTTGACATTTATTGAAAGCATTTAATCCTCACAACAACCCTATAAACGTGTATAATATTCTGCATTGTATAGTATTTTTGTAGATGGGAAAACGAAAACACAGAAAGGTAAGTCATTTGCCTAAGGTTGCACAGCTGGTTAGTTAATAGGGAAAATGGCCCCAGAGCCTGCACTCTTGACCACTGTGCTAAACCCTCACTTGTGCCTTTAGACATACTGTTCCCTCTGTCTGGAACTCTTTAGTTTCTCTCTTCACTTGGCTAAATCCTAATCCCCACTAGATATCAATTGAGATATCACCTCCTCCGGGAAGCCTTCTCTGACCCCCCGTATCTGGGCTGGATGTTCTGATGTTGCCTCCACAGTGCAGTCATTCCTTGATCACAAAGTTTCTGCCATACTGTGGTGGTTGGACGTCCACACTAGGCTGTGCTCCTTGAAGGCACAGGCTTTATTTCACTCTTTGGAAGAAGGGTCCCAAGTCCCTGGGACAATGACGCCCTGTGTTAGGAGCTCAACCTACATCTACTGAATAAAAGGTGGATATCAGTACATCAGATAGGCTAGGAACCATCTCTCCGAGTACAGAGGATGGGCGAGGAGAGGGAAGTCGGTCGGGCCTCTTTCAGGACCACGGAGAGCTCCTTGGCTGCCAGCCACCGCTAGAGCAGGGGTCTCCAGGTTTGTTTCTTTGTTCTCTGAGACTCTGATTCTGGCCTGGACAAGACTCCCCAGACTTTGAATGTTAGCCGGCTTGACTGAGCGGCAACAGGGCAGGGGGGAGCAGGAGCCTCAGGACTGGCTAATCCGCTGCCTGGGCGGAGCAGCACCCCCAGGGCCCCACAGTCAGTCACACCCCATCTCCTATATACTTTTTAACCAACATAAAGTTTTAAAAAGTAGTAGAGAGCCTGTTGGAACCAGCACCAAATCTATGTGTTTTCTCGAATTATTGAACTAGAAAGAAATGAAAACATCAAAATACTCTCTTTGTACCAGGCTCGAATTGAGCGGCTGCCTCATTCAGTCCATGTCTCGGCCTGACTACAATGATGAAGCGATGGAAGGCAGAGTGGATTGAAAGGGAGCGAGGCTCAGCGGGGAACCTCAGATTGCCATTCGCAGACCACAGGGAGCCCAGAATGGGTCCCTGCTCGGGAGGAGAGAAGGGAAACAAGATTGACAGGTGAAGAGATGGGGGAGGGCAAGAGGGGGCCAGGGCTGGAGCAGGCAGGGACACAAAGAGGTACTCTCCTCCTCCATTCAGTTCTGCCCAGAACACAGGCAGGACCCTGCCTGGTGCCAGACTGGACCCCCAGAGATGGGTCCCTACCCACTGCATCTGGCCAAATGGGGAGAGCCTGCAGAGGGGCAGAGAAGTCAGAGCCATCAGCGCCCCCACAGAAAAAGGTGCAGGCCTCTGAGGAAGCACAGGAGTGCAGCAGGCAGAAAGAACAACGTATGCAGGCAGGAGGTGTGTGCATGATGGCAGGGTTTCGAGGACAGCCCAGTAAGAAACAAAGCCAGAAAAAATGCTGAGGTCCCTGAATGTCACCGACAGCAGTGTGGGAAGACCTTGCCTTGGGGGAGAACCTGATCTTAGATGGACTAAAAGGCCTTTGTCCCTCTTTGTTCAGAAATGCACCTTGGGGACCAAATCCTGTGGCTAGAGTTACACGTCTGTGCAACAGGCTGCCACAAGTCTGAACAGCCATCACCAGATGTTGCTCACACCCATTTAGGGAGTGGGCTGTGGCTAAAAGGGCAAAGAGAAACCAGGTTTCTGGAGTTCACTCCACAGCCAGGCTCTGCAGCCCTGACCCTGTGGAACTGACGGCAGCCCCCTCCTCCATGCCTGGTGATATGTGATGTGGGGTGCCCCAGCTGGTCTCAGTGGGAACCTGCAGAAGATGCTTCAAGGAGGAGAGGGAGTGTGAGAAAGGCTGATGAGTCAAATCTCAAGGCAATGGAGGGAGATGCCTGGTTCTTTTTGGTTTTGGCACAGCATTGGTTGGGCATTTTTTCTGTGTGCATGTTACACACGTTCACAGCCTGAATTCTCTCTATAGCCATCACGGTTGGACACAGCTATTCAACCAAGAGCTCAGAGAGGCAAAGCAACTTGCCCATGGCCACCCAGTGACAGAGATGGGGCTCTGACTTGGGTGGCCAGCTCTGGCACATGGGAACAGATTACATCTGTGTGTTCTCCACCCAAATTCCCACCTCCCCTTTGTTTCTCTCCTTTTCCTCCAGCTCCTGGCCTTTGACCTTCACCAATACTGTCCAGCTTGGCACTTGAGTGGGTTGCCACCATTGTGAATTGGGCCTTGCCTGCATTCTCAGTAGGCTGGGTTCCAGACATTTGAGGTCTCAGCCATAGACTCTGCTGGGAACGTGGAGGCCGGGGAGATTCTGTCCCACCTGGTCCCTCTGAATGAGCCAGGCACCCCTTGGAGGAAGTGACAGGCCAGCCCCAGGCATGCACTCCACTGGTATGTTTAGCCCCAAATCCTCCTCTTGCCCCATTTACCACCTTTCTCTGGGTGCCACCCTTGGGCCATCCTCATCCCTGACTGATGACTATTCAAGACCACTTTCTCTGCCTCTAGTGGAGCGTGTCAGAACCCAGCCTGTGACCCCACCCCATCATCTTAGAAGCAAACTCTTTCTAGCACCTGTACCAGGTGCTGGAGCAAGCCCTGAGTTTAGTTCATGTAATCCTGACAACCACCCCATAGGTCAGATGGGGAAACCAAGGCAGGAAGCAGGCACATACCCTGTGAGTGGCTGGACCCAGGCACTAACCCCCAGCCCCACACTCCTAGCACCCTGCTGTCTCTTGGTGACATGTGAGTATGTCAATCTGAACATGCTTGAAATGAATATTTGTCAATAATTTTACCAGACACTTGCAAGTTCATTCATGCTCACTAACTTTATTCAACAAACATTTGCTGGCACCTGCTCTGTGCTAGGCCCTGTGCTGGGGACTATGGGTGCAGTGATGGCTCAAACATAGCCCCTGCCCTCACGACCCACAGTCAAGATAGAAGCAAATGAGGAAGTAGACACCTGCCACACTAAGAGGTCAGCACCGTAGCAGGTTATGGGAGCCGGGAGGAAACAGTCATTCCACCTGGGGCTCCCCTCTTGTGCACGAAGCCTGTTCTCGGGCAGGTGGGAGGGAAGGTGCGAGGCACGGCCCTGTGCAGGAGGACTGAGTGCTCTGGGGCTGGCCTCCGCTGCTGCGGCACGGCAGGCTCACACAATGAAAGCTAATTCTTTGGTTGTAATGACTGGAAGAATTGCTGGCTTTTGACTTCTAGCATAATTACTGTGAGACCTCCGTAGAGTAATTCACCAGATAATTACATGGTAGCAGGTGGGGGGTGGGATTCTTCTCTGGAAGGTAAAGAGGTAGCATTTAATTTCAAGGGGGATGCCTAATCTTATAATTACTCAGTAAAGTCCTATATTCTTGCCAACCTGATTCCCTGGGGCCAGCCTGGCCTACAGAATCAAATCAAGCAGGGGCCATTCCCCAGAATGGAAATTCAGAGTGGGGGCCTCAGGGATGATGGGGCTTCCCCAGAGTGTCTTCACAGGTGAATTATCCTTGGGGCCTTGAATACAGCAGGAGGAAGAGGCAGGGCAAGATGCAGAGCCTTATTTTCTGTGCTAGAGGTGGAACTGATCAGAGGGAGAAAACTCATCCCCAGGCAAGACTGTAGCTCAAAGTGTGGCAGTCCAGGCTGGCCGCCCACCTCAGGGCCACTTAACCTCTCTGCAATGCAGCTCTCTCCTCAGTCAAAGGGGGCTAAGCCTTACTGCCTGTTATCTATTATCACCAATAGTGCCGCCTAACAAACTACCGCAAAACACAGAGGATTTGCAAACCAGCTAGCAATGTACTCCTCATGCTTCTTGGGTCCGCTGGCAGCTCAGCCTGAGCTGCGTCTCATTCACATGGCAGGTGGTGTTGGGGCCACGTGTCTCTCATCCTCCTGCAGGCTAGCCCAGGCTGGCTCCCATGGCATCTGGGAAGTCCCAAGAGCAAGCATCGAAGTGGACAAGGCCTCTTGAGGCCCAGTCTGGAAACAAGCACAGTGTCACTTGGCCACATTCTACTGCCCAAAGCAGGTCACGGAACAGCGCAGAGACAAGGTGGAGCAACGGATTCCCGCCCCTTTGTGGGAGGCTCTTCATCATGTGGCAAAGGTGTGAGGTCATAGGGAGGAATGAGGAACTGGATCTATTTCTGTAATCAATCTACTACAACCTGCCCAGGGGGTTATTGCAATGTGTATGAGATGCACACAGTAAGTGTTCAGTAAAGTGGAATTCTGCTGGTTGTTGAGAATGAGAATAGTAAAAGGAAGCTGGTAGCAGAGATAGGCATGGACTCCTGCTGCTGAATGTGCAGGCCACTGGCCTTCCCTCTTCGGAGACAGCGATGTAGTGCAGATGCCCAGCACAGGCCTTGGGGGGCGGTGGTGGACATGGTCCAGAAGTGAGTTCCTGCACTACCTGCTTCTGTCTTCAGCTCACTTCCCCTCTCATAGCCTCAGTGGCTGTGGTGCAGAAAGGAGGTGATGCCACCCCACAGAGGCGGCTGAGGGTTAAAGCAACACATGCCACATGCCGAACAAAAAACGGCCTGGCGACGGTCGGTATTTCTCTCTTTTGAAATCCAAGCCCCAACTGTCTAGAGGATTTTGTTTAGCTTTACTTCCTGTTGTTTATATTACAAGAAAAGTAGCTAATTCCCTTTCATTTTCCAAATATGAAATTATTCTCTCACACAGAAATGCCTTTTCAAACTAGATATTTCTTCATGGAGCTTAGGGTGTGTTCCCTGCCCTGCCATCCTTCCCCCGCAGGCAGGACCATACCATGGGTCACAGGTACCAACCCACAGCAGGTGACTCATGGCTCATGCTCCTTCTCCAATAGTCACTACTATTTTTTAATTAAATTGTTATTAAACAAGTAATTATACACTCTCCTTTTGAACAACCAGAACATTACAGATAAGGTAAAGTCCCCCTGTTCACCACCCCAATTTCAAATACCTTCCCCAGCCCCCACCCACCACCAATGCCGTCCTCACCTTCCCCAAAAACACCACAAATATCAGCACATGGTATTCTTCCAGTTCTTTTCCTATTAACTTACATGTATATATACATGTGTATGTGCATGTATGTCTGTGCATGCATGTGCTTATATATATCTATTTTCATAGAATATGTTATTATTTTGTGCTTTGTCATAAATGTTATATCACATACATTAACTTGCAACATGCTTTTTCGCCCAAATTGCTAACTTCTTTCTCCATTGACACACGCAGATAGGGCCCATTATTTTTACATGCTGTATAGTACTCTGCAGTGTGAATGGACCCATTTCCATCCATTCTGCAGTGGTAGGAATAATACTTTACTGCAGCACTGTCCTAAACAAGTGTTTAGAGCCGACGCTAACTCTCAGAATCCCTCACATCAACCATGAGGCAGCCACTACTCATGTTTCCATTTTGCAGTTTTGAGGAAAGCAAGGCACAGCGAGGTTAGATGAGTTATCCAAGGTCATATCAAAAATAAGTGGCAAGGCCAGGATTTGAGCCCAGGCAGTCTGGCTCCAGAGTCCCTGCTCTCCCGCGTAATACTACATTGTTTCCCGCGGCATGTGTGAGTGTGGTGGTTGGGGGGTGTTGTTTGTGTTGGTTTGCTTTGCCTTGCCATTTTAAGTCACCCCAAGTTCTCTTAGACTCAGAGTCCTTTGCTTGACCATTTGAACTGGAGGTCAGCCTGCCATCAGAAGCCCCTCCCTTCGCTGCTCAGGCTCCAAAGTGCCTGCTCCAAGTTCAGTATTTCCTGAATTTGGATGTTGGTATGTCTTGCTAGGTCGGGGAAGTTTTCCTGGATAATATCCTGAAGTGTGTTGTCCAACTTGGTTCCACTCTTCCCATCACTTTCACCTGATGCCCTCTGTGGATAATTCTGGGCATCTTCCCAGAGATGCTGCGAATAGCGGGAAACCTCTCCCCACCGGCTCTGAGCCACCCCGGCTCATTTCCAGGCCCATGCCTCGGGGAGCAAGGAGCCCACAGTGTGGACTGTGGACTTTCCCTTTCCCTAAATCACCATGTGCGCCCATCAGAATGCAAGGCCATCCCTGAGATTCGAGGGAGAATGAGCTCCTACGGAGAGCGTTTTGCTGGCATAGGGAGGGTGTCTCTGCCCGGCACTCAGGGGTCAGCCTAGTGGGTGGTCAGTGCAGCGTTTACTAACAGAAAGGGAAAGCCCTTTCTGAATCTTAGAGTGCCTTACAGCCAACAAGTCCATCTCCCTGGAGAGCCAAGAGTGTGTGCCAAGGCAGGATGGCAGAAGGCGGGGACACATTCTGGAAATTGCAAGTGATTCAGTGTTTGAGACAGAGTGCAGGGAGGAGGAGGAATGTGAGGTGGGGTGGGTGGGCACAGCCTCAATCAGAGAGGCCTTGAATGCCAGGCAACGAGGTTAGGCAAGGAGGAATGGGAGGGCGTGTCCATCCAGAGGGGAGTGGCATGGGCAAAGGCCTGGAGGTGTGGCTGAGCGCAAGCGCTGAACAGGTTTAAGACTTTGAGGGATCTGAGAGCGGTAACACGGCCAAGGCCCACAGGTCAGCCTGCACCTGGGTGCAGGACCTTCACTCGCAGGGAGCCATGACAGCCTCTGAGCAGGGACAAGAGCTGGCCAAGTGGGCTGGGGCTGATTTCTCCAGAGGAAGAGGCAGGGGCAATTATTACTGAGGGATAGTGCTGCCCAAGACGGCTGAGCCAGGTCCCTTCCAGGGGGTCTCAGGGAAAAGATAACCAGCCAGCCCTTCTGCAGAGAGAGCCACACCATGCAGTATGGACATCTTGCCTCTGTTTCTTCAGTTTCTAATCCTCTTGGTTTTTCCTTGAGTGCAGCAGCTTATGGGAGTGAGCTTGACAGGGGCATGTGGGAATAGAATTGGCCCCTTGCACAGTGCTCTGCTATCAGTGGGTGGAGCCTGCCAGCAGTCCTTGGTGGGATATCCTTGCAGGCCCCAGCCATACCCCAAGGGCCACCCCTGTCGCTCCCAGTAGTCTATATCCGGCAGAAAGGAAGCCACCCCTTAGTCATTCCCTAGCAATCAAAGGGTATGTGATTCCTGCTTACAGCAGGTGCTTAATTACTTCAAAAGTGCCCCCAGAACAACAGTGCCATGCACAGGCCACCTCTGAGCCTGGTCCATGCTGTTTTGAGGTGTCACAGAGCTCAGCCCCAGCCAGCATTGGGAGTGGTCAGGACCAGCTGTCACGTTCCCCAGGAGAAAAGCATTACCATTCCACTAAATCAGCATCAGCTTCATGAAGACACAAGCAGGGTCTCTTGATCGTCCAAGCCCGTGCTAGGTGTCTTAGATGGGGTTCCCCCAGAGGCAGATCCTGAGACCAGGATTCAAGTGCAAGTCGCTTATAAGGGAGCCCAGGTAGCACCAGGTGGGAATGGGAACTGAGACAAGGAAGGGAAGGAAACCAGTGCTGTGCGGCCTCAACCAAGTCACCTAAGCTCTTTGAGCTTTGTCTCCTCAGTAAAACAGAGTGCAGTTATACCTCCCTGAGAGGATTGGTGTGAGGATCAAGGGAAGTGCCTGGCAAAAACAAGGTAAGTCCAAACGGTTGGAGTGACATAGGGGCCCCCAGGCATCCAGGATTGGCCAAGGCCCATAGAGAAGGACCTACCTGCACGCATGTTTACAAGCCCCAGGTTGCTGACCCACTGCCAGGGCTGTCTTCAGCCCTGTCAGTCCCCAGCACCCCTGCTATGGACTCTTCCAGCCCTGCTTCTCAGGCTCTGCCCTGTGGCTCCAGGCTGGCCCAAGCACGTGACCTTCCTTTGCGACCCCTGGAGCCCCTAAGTGCCACCCAGTAGATAGCTGGGGTGGGCAGGGCTTTTCCTTTGAGCCCTGCTGGCCTCTTAAGGCCCCACATGGGTAAAGGTTCACCAGTCCATACCACCCAAACTGGAAGTACCCCAGGAGCCCCACCCCACTCCTCCTGGCAGACAGGCTGAACTCACCTAAGTGGGCACAGACAAGAGCCCAGCTGGCTTTTGGCACAGGCCCACACCAGGGGGGACTGGAATTCCTGGGACTGCTGAGACCTGGGCCATCAGAGAGCGGATGCTGGCTCCATCCCTTGCCAGTTGTCCTGTAACCTTGGGAAACTTCCCCTAGCCCATCTGGGGTCCCTTGAAATCTCTATAAAATGGGCCTAAGAGCAGTGTCTGCCCCTTGGGTTGTGAGGGGGCAACTGGGGTCACCCATGTGAAGGGTCCGAGCCCGAGGTAAGTGCTTACTAAATGCTGCAACACTAGACTGAAAGGAGCAGCCAGGGGTCCAGGCTGCAGGGGCAGAGGGGTGCAGGTTGCAGGGGCTGAGGGGTGCAGGTGCAGGTGTCTCCAAGAGAAAGTGAGGATGTCCCCGAGGCCAACTTCACCAGCAGGAATATGGGACCCCTGCTCAGCAGGACTCAGGGTGGTGTCCTTATACCCATGATGCTCCAAGTCAACTGATGACAGGACCCAACCAGGGGCACAGCCAGTAACCAGATGACAAGGGCTGAGGAAGCAGGATGGGGTCCAGGGCCCACACAGGCCTGGCCTCCCAGATACATTCTTCCAGTAATACTGTTAGAAGTGATATACATCTGGCATTTCTAGTCCTTTACATAATGGCCTCACTAGTCATCCAACACCCCCACAAGGTAGAGCCTAGTATCAGCCCCACATTCCAGATAAGGAAACTGAGGCACAGAGAGGCTCCTGCCTCATCCAGGCAATGGAGGGGATTCATCCCAGCGAGCCCGGCGCCAGCCTGGCTCCCATCCACTGCTTTAGAGCCCCTTGTCTTCAGGCACAGAGGTGAGAGTGCTGGTGGGAGTTCCTAGAGATGGAGGGCCAGTGGAGCCAGCCACTCCTGGGAAGAACCTCCCACTGCCTCGACCCAGGCCCACTGCAGGTGCCACCTCCTCCCTGATCCCCCAACCAGGCATGTTCTCCTCCCATCCCCAGGCACTTTCTTCTGCCCTCGTCTTTCCCTGACCTGCACTCTCACCTAAGCCAACTCTCCCTGCCTGATCTGGGTCCCTGAATTTGGGCACGGGGCATGGGGGTCCCTGGCCAGGGAGGGCAGAGGAGGGAATCATAAGTGCCATCCACCTCCCCTTCCTCCTGCAGCTTGCCTGGCCCAGACTCCCTTAACTAGCTCTGGCTTCAAACCTAGGCTCTCCCAGCCCCACCCCCGCTCGCCTGCTGCAGGCAGGCCTGGCCGCCCTGATGCAATGGGGGCGGTGGCAGCTGGGGGCGGACTGCTTCCTTCCAGGGCTGCGGCTTCCACATCAAACCCATGCTCATTAAGAAGCACGGCGAGTGCCAGGGTGACATCTTTATTCACGCGCCCAGAGACTTCAAAGCCTTCAGGAGATCTCCTCGGTGGATTAGACATGAAAAATGTTGGAGATGAGATGGAGCAAAGAAGCAGACAGCCGCTCTGGATGTTAATTAGGCAGGGGGTGGGGGCCGCCTCCAGTCCAGGGTGGGTTCCTCTGGGGCAGAAGGGCCCAGACCACCAGAGGCTCTCTGTGGCTACAATCCCAGGTCACCTGGAGGCTAGAACCTCCCAAGCTGCAGGCCAGGTCCCTGGATGTGGGCGAGCTGGACCCAACAGGAGAACTTGCTCTGCAGTGAACATGACTGGGTGACCCCAGCATCCCCATTAGGGAGAAGCTTCAGCTTCACTGCTGCCCACAAATGTAGACCAAGTCCTGCATGGACTGCTCTGTGCGGGCTGCTGCCAAGAAGGCGGAGAGGAAGGGGACATCCCAGGATCTCAGTCTTGGGAGGCAGGTGGGAGTAGTTGCGAGTCTCTGTGGTCAGTTCCGAGAAGGAGGCAGGTCCAGGAGGCTGTGGGAGCCAGAAGAGGTAGTCCAGGAAAGCTTAGATGGGGAAGAGGGGCAGACCACCAGAAATGAGAAGGGAATTCCTAGCAGAAGAAATGACACAAGCAAAGGCTGGAGGGGTCGACATGGAAGGCAAAGCCATTCTCTGTCAGGAGTGTCACAAGCAGGGCTGGGTGCAGGTTGAGATGGAGCAGGACGAGGAAGCAGGGGTGGTCTTGAATAGGTGGCAACATGGTTACAGTTAGGGTTTGGGGAATGTTTTGGTGGCACAGGTGGGAGCTGAATGTGGGGGCCAGAGGTCTGGAGAGTGATTGATTGTCACAGTCAGGAGCATGGCTGTGGTCCAGGTAGAGGGTGACGACTTGAAACAAGAGGTAGCCACAGGAATATGGAGGAGGCAGGAGAGAGAATGGCAAACACCAGGTGAGTGATGGAGAGGGACCAGGGACAAGTCACAGATCAGATTCAGATTCTTGGCCCCTGTGACCAGGTAGAACCTGGGGCTCTCCCCAAGGTGAGAACACAGAGGAGAAGCAGGTGTAGGGGAGGGTGCTGGGCTCAGTATGGAGCCTGCTGGGTTTGAGGTGCCTCCAGGACACCTGGTGAGAGGGTCAAAGGTGGGAGAAGCTTTTGAGCCAGAGCTCAGGGGAGGCATGGGAAAAAGGGAGCAGCCCACCACCCACTCAACCAAGATGAATTGATGCCATGTTGGGCAGGGGCAGGCTCTTGCCAGACATTATGTCTCCAAAAGGATTGTCTCAGCCTGGGAGGGGCTGAGAAAGGGAAAGGAGAGGACCCAGGCCTGGGGGCATCGGGGGCCTGACCCCACCCAGGAGCAGAGTGAGGGGCCTGGGGAAGGACTACCCTTGGGCTGAGGTGACACAGGGGCTCTATGTCCTGGCAGAGCAGGGGCACCCTCTGCTTTAACAGCAGAGATGTAGACAGGCCTCTCTGCCCCCACCATGATCCTGACCCAGGGCCATGGGAGGACAGGCACTCAGGCCAGAAGATGAGACTCTGGCTGCCCCCACAGATGTTTCCCAAAACATTTCAGAGGAAAACCTGCTGTCTCAGAGGGCAACTGAGAAACAAATTTCTTTGGGCTTTCTTATGCCTGCTAGATGAGGGGAAGAAAAGGTTTCATAAATGAGCTTTCCCTCCCCCACCAGGGTGGGAAGGGGAAAATGGAGCTATTGATTGGCCCATTTAGAGTGTCGACTTTGATTTGGTGTGTGTCACCTGGGCGACTAATTGGAGACGCGCAGCTTCTGATCAGGGGGCGGCTTGGGGCCTCCTGGCAGGTGATGTGGAATTGGTGCCGCCATCATCCTGTCTGCCTTCCTGGCCTCATGGCACCACTCAAGGACAGGACCATAGTGGCAGGATCACTGGCTTTGCTCACGTTTAGGCTGTGTGTCGCCTAACCATCCCCCCTGCACACACTGAAAAGATGGGAACTGGAAGCAAACTACTGCACTGTTCTTGTTGGGGGCCAGGAAAGAGACACTTCCCCCGAGTCCTGTGGGGACCCCACACTGCCAGTGCTTGGCATAGCCCCACACCCTGCCTCCACCCTGTCTGAGCTGCTCCTGTGCCAGAGCAGCTGTGGTTCTGCAGGCACCCATTCCCCCATCTGGAAACAGCTCAGCATCCCCCAGGGGAGTTACCCCGACCCCTCAGTCCAGTATCTCAAGTGAGCTGATGGACCCAGGCTCTTGGTTGATCATATGACCCGGGCCTGGCCAATAAAAATGCTGCATTTCTCCGGCCACAGCGATTGGTTCAGGAGGGGTTATGTAGCCCAGGCAGAGCCAATCAGAGGCAAGGAGTATCACGTTTTAGATTTTGCAGCACTTTTGGGAAAGAGGCAGGTCGTTCTTTTCATGGCGGGGGGGTGGTCACTGAGCTCGTAGGACGTTGACAAGGAGCTCATCAGGGTTTGCAGTAGCTTGGGTGCCCTGGGAAGTAGACTCTCGACATTGCCACAGATTTTAGCAAGCAGAGCATTCATTAAAGGGGGCCTGGGGATGACCCCTGTGGAAGGCGGGAGAAGGAAGTGGAGGAGGTAGAAGGAGAAGTGACAGCCTCAGCCACCCTACAAGGACCTCTGGGGCTAGTACCGAGGTGGGCTGAGATGACCAAGGCTTTTTATCCTCACATCCATCAGTCACTGGGTCTGGGCCACCAAGAAAAAGGATGTGGCCTTAGCCAAGGCAGTTCTCTCTAGCCAGAGCAATCCTTGGAGGACCAGGAACTGTCTGCTGACAGCCCTTCCAGCTGGGAGGAGTCTGTGCAGTGTGTCCCAGGCCGTCTTTGTTACCACTAGGGGAGATATGAATGAACGAATGAAGAATGAAAACTCTGAAAAAAACAGAGCTAAGAAATAAAGCCATATTGAGTCTTGAAGACTTTGCAGTGCCTGACCCATTCCCATAACTTCTTGCTTCAACCAGTTTGAGCTGGACTTCTGTCTCTTGCAACCAAGAGAGTTGACCAACAGAGCCTTACCAAGGGTGGGCATTCAGTCCAGGTTTGGCCAAATTAGTCGCTTCAGGGTCTAACATGGGAAGGCCTTGTGGTGACAAGAGCTGGGGAGAAAAGGTCTAAGGGGTCAGAAGGGAGCCCTGGAGCTCACATCAGAGGCCAACACGGGACACAGCCAGGGCATCAGAAGTGAGCTGCCAGGGAGGTGTGAGGGGGAGGCAGACCAAGAAGGAAAGTGGGGGATAGAGGAAGGTCTGCAGGTGCCCACCATCCCCAGCCTCTCAATGCCTAGTGGGGAGCACTGGGTGACACTGATACTGATTAATGAGAGCCTCCTGGCCACAGGGCTCAGTTCATGGGTGGGCAGGTGACCCTAGCAGGACCAATTAGAGTCAAAGCGCCTCAGGCCCAAGCATTCTACCAGAGTTAATGTCTCCAGACCGGTCCCAGTGTGCGCCTTCCTCTCACCCCCACCATGTGGTTATCACCACATCCCCTCCCCTGTAGGTCCCCTCTCCAGCCCAGCTGGAAGCAGGCCGGTGCTGTTGAACCTCAAGCCTTGCGCCCTTTGGGCCAGACCTTCCTGGCTCGCAAAATCTCCTTGGGAGCAAGGCCAGGTCTCCAGTCATCTCTGATTGCTCTGCCACCTGCCCCTTTCCAGTGGACTCAGCCCATCTGATTCACACTGAACACACATTTGTTTAGCAGAGAGTGTCAGACAGAGGTGGGGACTGGGGGAGGCAGGGAGAGAAAAGGGAAATTCAATGACAGAAACACACAAATGAAAACAAAGTCCAGCTGAAAATGCTGAGTATGTCCTCGAGGCTCTCAGAATTCCCAGCCTTGTGGCTCAAAATTGAGGGAGGGAGGAAAGAGACAGGCAGGGAGGGAAGGAAATGCCAGCTGCCCTTTTCCCAATGACTTTATATGCCCCCAACTTCATGACAGGAACTTGCCACTGCATTATCTCAAATGGCCGCCCAGCAAACCTTCATGGAAGGACAGATGAGGAGACCAAGGCCTGGGCAGTGGCAGAGTGTCCGGCCTTTACATCTAGGTGCTATTTCTACTCACACCGAAGAATGGGGTGTGTGTTTGGGGTGAAGGTATACCAGGAGGGGAGAGCAATAAATCCGTAAGAACAATTAAGTGATTCCCAGAATGAATGTCCAAAAGTATGGATTATCCTAGTTGAAAGGACCCCCAAGCCACAGACTCTGGACCCTGCTTTGCAGATAGGTAACTGAGCTCCCAAGCTATCCCTATGTCCTCAAATAAGTGACAGGACCAGGAATAGGATTGGGGTCTCCCCGTTGGGTCTCCCAATCACCAGCCTGAGGCTCTAGACATGCCTGTGAGCTTCTCCTCATTCCGGAGACCCCAGCGCCCCTCCCCAGGTCAGTGAGGGAAGAGAAGAGTCCACAGAGGGCCCCACTGTCTGAGCGTGGAGCTGCCTTCCCTTTGTTTAAGCCCATTGTCTTTTGTAATTAGAAAATAAATTACTTTTTCTCAAAGAAGCATGCCTGGTTCTAGCTCCATGGATAAGAGGGATAAGAGGCAGGGTGCATCCGTGGCCTGACAGGTGGAGAGCTGGCACCCTATCAGCCCATCCCGGCACTAAGGCCTATGGAAAAGAGGGGGTAGGGGAGGGGGAAGCTGGTGGGAAGGAGGCAGGCAGAGGAGGAGGGGGCCAGGAGTTTGACTAACGCAGACCCTTTGTGTCTGCAGCACCAGTCCAGCAGCCAAGAAAACAGAATCCAAATAGTTTTTGAAAGAGGGTCCCTCGGGTTCTTACTCCAGATGGGGAATGGGTTTTAAGGTGGCCCTACTGCACTGTCCCACCACGTGTGTGCGTTGACAGCATCCAATCCCAGTGTAGTTGTCTGGCTGGAGCCTGCCGGGCCAGGGCCCCCACTGAGGAAGAGCTGGGCTCCAGCTCCTGCCCTGCCCTGCCCTCCTCCTGTGCTCACTCCGTTCCGCCCCTCGGCCTCCATGCTCACCCTCAGCACCCCCACCCTAAGGCCTTCGCCTGCTGCCTAAAGGTGTCCTCAGCCAACCTGGCCGCCCTCCCGAAGGTCTCTGCCCACCCCGTCCTTCCGTGACCTCCCACCCTGCCCTGCATCTCATTACACCTGCCTGCTTTTTTCCTCCAGAGCTCTATCCCCTTCTCTCACTCTATCAAACTTGTTCTTTTCTGTCTCTACCTCCCCATGGATGGGGGTTCACAGTCCTCACAGCAGAACTGGGGCGGCCTCGGTGGGGCAGGTATAGAATGAAGCTGTCCAGGCCTGCAGGCACCCTGTCCACGGAGGCCTCGGCCTTGGAGAGAGGCTTGTCTTCCCAGCCATCCAACTGGGTTTTTTGAGGGTTTATTTCCCTGTGTCATGCCCATCCACTTCACTGTTTGTTCCCAGCACTGCAGTTATGAAGCAGAGTTGAGCAGAGAGCAGGGCCCAGGGCTCCTTTGAGGCTGGCATGACAGAGATGGCTGGCATTGGGGAGAGATCCTTAAGGCCAGGAATCTTGGAGGACAGGGCCCCACCCCATTCCTTCATGGAGATTCTCCACTGCATCAGCTGCAGAGCTGAGTTGTGTCTGGTTTAAGGAAAGCGCCCTTAGGGGCTGGTGCAGGGTCCCCAGTGCTCCCTGGCTTACACCTGTGACCTTATGCCGAGAATTTACCTTGACCAATGAGTGCCACCTGGTGGAGACACCTGGGAGGTTACGCCCACCCTCCCATCCACCCCCGGAGGTGGAGAGCAAAGCTGGCTGTTCTGACTGAGCAGAGCACAGGAGCCCAGGCCCCTGGCCTCAGGGCAGGACAGAGCCAATGAGATTTGTTCTCCAGAACGCTTCCCCGCCCCAATCCCAGCGGGCCCCACTTGAGACCACATTCTTGCTCGGCACATTCACTTCCCTCCACTTACAGGGGTCCCCTGAGAGCTCCCTCAATAAACCAGGCTCAGGCCCTGCCTCTAAGGGGGCAGCCTAAGCTGGTGAGGGTGTGAACACCACCCGGACCCTCTCCCAGGCCCGGGGAATAACAAGCAGGAGTGTGGGAATGTCAGTTGGCAGAGCCTGAGCCAGGGAGGGCCAGGATGAGAAGGCAGGGCTGGAGGTCCCCACACAGGAGGGACCTGAGCCAGGACCAGAAGGTCAACCAGGGGCCCCAGCAATTTCTAGCCCACACAGGGCTGTGTCAGAGTCCAAGGGTCAGATCTGAGGACCTGGGCAGGATTTAGCTTCAGCACTTATTGCTGGTGGAAGCTTTGCCACAAGCTAAGAACTCAAGCCACCAGTGAGATCTTCTGAGAGACAATTACTATTCAGACCCTAAGGCCTTGGCCCTGCTGGGACTCCTGAGTCCCCACTATTAGAAAGGGCCTCAGGTGTCCCCAGCATCTGTTGTTGGAATTGTACGAAACTAAAATTGCTATGCAAAGCTGCCAGGATTGCTGAATAATAAAGTGAGCTTGGAAGTAGTCCAATGACTAATTTCTTTAATATATAAAGAGTTTCTACAAATCACTAAAAAACACAATGGAAACTTTGTTAGAAAAAAATAGGCAAATGTTAGGAGTAGGAAATACAAAGTTTTCAACTATATTAGATGTTTATTATCACTTAAAATAACATATCACAAATGCAACAAGATGCCATTTTCATCTATTAGATTGATGAATATCAGAAGATTGGATAATATACTGTCCAGTGAGGATGCACATGAGCAGACCTTGCACCCTCCAGGTGGGGTGACATTTCTATCCACTTACAAACACACTTGCCCTTGACCCAGCATCACTTCCGAAAGTTCACCACAGGTGTACCAGGACTCGAGGATTGAGGTGTGTGTACAGCGTGGTGGTGCAGCAGGACAGAGGACAGAGAAATGATCTCAGTGTCCTTCAACAGGGACTGGTCACATGGACACAGCACATCCATATGGCGAGGTCCACTGCAGCCACTTTAAAAAGAAGGAAGCAGATCTGTACATGCTGATGTGGATAACCCACATGCAGACCATGAAGATCAAAAGGCAAGCGGCAGAGTGCTCTGTATGACATGCTACTATTCGTGTGTGGGTGTGTGTGTGTGCACGTGTGTAAAATATATCTAGAGTGATGCTCATGAAACTGACAAGAGCCATTGGCTCTGGGAAAGGAAGCTGGGCGTCGGGGTGGGAGAGACACGGAGTTCTCACTGTATTTTGATTCTTGTTTCTAAGATCTTTTCAAGAAACAAAGTTTAAAGCTAAACTTCAAACAGATGTCTATCTGAGACTCAGGGGAGGGGAAGAAAACAGGAGGAGCCGAGCTAGAAGGGCCCTGGGCCTGATTCAGCAGGAGGGACTAGCAGGGAGCCCCCAGGATGTTCCTGGGGAGAGGGTGGGGAAGGAAGGGACTAGGGAAAGGGGCCCTAACCACAGGGGCAGAGTGAGTTGGGGTGCCTGTGGGAGGCATGTTGGGGGGACACAACCACTCACAGGGTCCCTTCTGGATGGAACCAGATGCATTTGCCAGGGGCCAGGTCCACTGGGGTCAGGGTGGGTAGAGGTAGACTGGCCCATCTGCTTATTAGACTTCAAGAGCTGATTCCCTGGCGGGGAGCTGAGGAGCAACTTGGAAGGATCCCCAGAGTGGGGCTGATAGAGAAACCTGGGGTTTTGAACCCACCCCAAGGACCCCCGACACACACACACACACACACACACACACACACGTCCTACTTAAAGCTCCTCAAGGCTTCCCATCACTCACACACACACACACACACAAAAAAAACAAAAACCGTTCCCATAGTCCACAGGAACCCATAAGGCCCAGCCCCATCTGCAGCTGCACCCCACGCCCACCCCATGGGCACACCCGGGAGCCCTAGCCTCTGACCCACCAAGCCCCACCCACCATGGGCTTTGGTAAGAAGGTTGCTCCTAGGATGTTCCTTCTTCCCTCACCCACTCCACCCACCACCTACCTCGTGAACTCCTCTTTGTCCTTGGAGGGAAGCTGGGCTACTGCTTCCTTGGGAAGCCATCTCGCTTTCATCAGGGTCTCGAAGTCAGTGCTTCTGGCAGCTGTCTGTGCAGTTATTTGATTGATACCTGTCTCCTCACATAAGACTACCAGCTCCAAGAGCACAGGAAGCACTTCCTTTTATTTTATTTCACTTTATTTTATATTTCATTTTATTTCATTTTATAAGTCTACCACGCTTAGAGACACACGCACAAGCCCTCAGTGCACAGCTCACTGAATTCCCACACAGTGCGCACACCTGCATAAGGGGTGCCTAGGTCAAGACATGAAACCCAGCCATTTCCCAGCAACATGCCATGTCACCCTCCCACTGAAGGGGGACCACTAGCCTGACTTCCAACAGTCTAGCTCCATTTTGCTGGTTTTGAGTTGTATGTACATAGAATCATATCTCTGTGATCTTCTGTTGGACAGATGCCCGGACCTGTGAGACCCAATGGTGGTGTTGCCTGTGACTGCCCCTGCTTCTTCTCATGCTATGTCATGCCCCACAGGGGGATTTCCCACATTTATCTATTTAGTCTATGTCAAGGGACATGTGAGTTGTTTCTGGTTGGGGTTGTTTGAATAACACCACTATGTGCATTCTTGTACATGTCTTTTGGAAAACATATGTGGACATTTCTGCTTCACGTAGACTCAAGCATGGAATCACTAGGCCAGAGGATAAAAGTGTGTTCACCCTTCAACAGTGGACTGCCAAGCAGTTTTCCAACATGGCTGTTCCAATTCTCTGCCCTGCTGCCCGTACTTGATGGGGCTTATCATTGTCACAGCAGTCGTTCTGACACAGACCACATCTGGTTTATTCATTCTTTATCTCCGTGCCTAGTGCAGTGCCTGATGCCACATAGTAGACGCTTTAAAAGAGTAGGAAAGAGGAATGGAGGGAGAGAAGGAGAAAAGAGGCAAGTGAGGAAGGAAGGGAGAGAAGAGGAGGAAGGTGGGAAGGGGAGGGGGAAGGGAAGGAGGGAATGGGAAAGGAGGAAGGAGAGAAGGGAGGAAGGAGGGAAGGAGGGAAAGAGGGAAGGGAGAAAAGTAGGGCCTGTCTCCCACAACTGGTGTGATTCTGGCTTTAAGTCCTGCAGCAGCTGAAGCAAACATGAAGCCAGAGGGCTCCTTGGATCCAGCAGGAATTATCTCAGCCCCGGAGACAGCCCCTCGAGCAGAGATCAGAAGTCTAGAACAACACAGGTGCTTCGATCTGCCTCTGCTAAGATGGAAACTTTCCTGGAGGTTTGGCAGGAGGTAGACACCTCCGGACTAGCGCAGCTTCACTGGAAAGGAGAGACGTCATGAAGATGAAGAGAAATAGCCTGAAACAGCATGTTTCAGCAAGGAATCAAAGGCAGAGAGAGCATGGAAGGTGCCTGGCGACACCACGCTGGTGCAGGGTGAGACGAGGAGCTGCCGGGGGCAGCTGGTGGGCCCGAGGGAGCCTTCTCCTGAGGTTAGGAGGGCGCAGGATGACAGAGCCTGATGGAGAGTTCAGAAGGGGAGGATGTGGCTCAGGCCTCCATGTCAAGTGGACGAAGCATGAGAAAGGGAATGTAACAGTGGGGAGGACTCTGTGTGCACGCGTGTGCATGTGCATGTATGTGTGTGTGTTTAATTTAAACTTGAACAAAGGAAAGCAGGGATGGCAGCGCTAACATCAGACGAAGCCAACACAGTAAGTGTGGTCCAGGGGCTCACTGTATCATGACACCAACAAACACTAAAACAGCAGCACCAGTATTCAGCTCTCGAGCATTTTCTGCGAGCCAGGCACTGTGCTTCCTGTGCCCCACGCGTGCGCTTATCTCCTGACAAGAGCCTCCTCAGTGAACATGGCTCCAAGCCCCATTGTAGAGACGAGGAAACTGAGGCAGGGAAGCTCCACAGCGGCCCTGAGTGGGACGGGAGGCCCCAGCAGCCCAGCTCCAGAGGCCACACTCAGGTCATCAAAGAAAGGCTCAGTGAATCCTGATGTTCCTTTTCCTCACACTTTCATAGACCAAACCACAAAACTCATTTTTAAATGTTAGAGATAAAAGGAGAGAAGACATGACATTTTAATTCACTAATACTCATTTATGGAATATTAAGTAAGCAAAAAATAAGCACAGAGGATATGAACTATGTCATTGAGAAGATAGAATTAATACGTGAGCATTTATCATTTTACCCAACAAACAGAGAATGTGCCATTGGTGGGAAGGTTCAGGGAACATCGTTAAAAGCTGATCATATCATCAGTCCCGGTGAATATGTCAAAAAGATTTTTCAAACAGATCTTTTAGAGACCACAGTCTTGACCACAATATAATAAAGCTAGAAATACTTTCTAAAAATAGAAAGAAAAGTAGAGATTTAAAACTACTCTCCTAAATAACATCTAGGTCAAGGAGGAAATCAAGTACACAGTAACTGATAACCCAGAAACAATGAAAATCAAACCTACATATCAAAACCCACAGGACGGTCCTCGCCAGCCTCAGAGGCTCGCCCATAACTTTAAACGTGTTTATTGTCAAACCAGCTCACACACGCAAAGAGAACGTGAAGAGATGAGGCTTTCAACCTCGGATTTTTAAGAAAAGAACAAACCTGAAGAAAAATAGGAGAAAGAAAATCCTAAAGATAAAAGCAGATAAATAAATTAGAGAACATGAAAGCAGTGAAAATAACAAATAAATACCAGACCTGGTTCTTTGAAAAAAACTAATAAAATAGAAAAACTTCCTGCAAATCTAATGAAAAAAACTGTAAATGTGAAGGTCTTTCCACTTAAAATTGAGGGCTCTTTAATTTTTTAAACGCAGACAGACTATTATAATAAGAGAAAAAATCTCCAGGTAGGCCGTGGGGAGCGGAAGGGGGGCCAACCCACACCGCAGATGTCCCTCTCCCGGTGGCACCTGCAGAACTGGGGACATGAAGTTCTCAGATTCTCCTCTTTGGGATCTTAGGAGTCCGCTGCATGAAGGGGAGCACCCTTACTCTTAGGAGACATCTGGGGCTAGACCGTCCTTCAAGAGGTCCCGAGCATGTGGAATGGGCAGTCCTAGTGGTCTCCTGGGCCCATTTCACAGAAATGAATCTCAGGCTCAGCCAAGCTAAGGGCTACAGAAAGGTTCTCTGCGTTGGCCACCTGATGGCCATGCTCACATGGTTCTCTCCCGCTAGAATGGCCTCCCACCCATCTTCCATGTCATCTCTGTTCTTAATTTTCTTTTCTGATGAATCTTTCTAAGCAGGGGGCAGAGGTCTTAGTGGATTCATGTAGACCACTGGCAACTTTTATTATTGATAAAACACTCCAAGCTCCCTAGCGGCAACTTCCTTGGCAGTCGCGGAGGCCTGAATGTGAGGAGCTCCACCCAGGCCCCTGCCCTGGCCAGAGCCTGTACCCCGCTGACCCCTCAGAACCCCTGTCTCCACTGGGGCCACTTCCCCCCACATCCTCACCAACACAGCCCTTCTCACAAAGTAAATGAGGACTGTGTCATTCACCATCGGCGGGCTCTATAGATTAGGTGAGTTCATAGCCCATGGTTACCAAAATAACAGCACAAAGTAACTAAGTGGAGAGCTGACTCTAACGGCCAAGTTTGTTTTAATGCTCTCACAAATTACTTTAGTCTTGAACTGATCACCTCATTAATTTAACATTTTTACATAACTGAGGACATTATATGGGAGAATCAGTTGCTAAGATCATGTCATTTACAACTTGCAAGCGACAAAAACCCAACTCAAACCGGTTTCGCAAAACAAAAAGTAGTGAATCCCTTCCCGTGGGGCCTGGCTGGCCCTGGCTGCTGCTGATTGGTTCTACTTTCCTGAGTGTGGCCACAACCCCAGGCGGGTCCCCCTCACGCTTGCAAGACAGGCAGCTCTGACCCACATGCAGCCAGCTGGGAACCTCGCCACTTCCAGCAGCATCCTGAGGTCAGCTGGCACTGGGCCACTGAGCCTGCCAGGCCTAGGGGACGCAGGTGTCATCCCCCACACGCCGCACAGACTGACTTTGTTCTCCAAAGGAAAGCTGAAGGGGATTGTGCTGCTGGCAAAACAACAGACGCCCAGGACAGCATGTTTGCAAATTTGGAGATTCATGAAGGTCTCCGGGTGATCAAAACGCGCTCTTCAAAGAAGCAGGCTGCAGGATTTAGGGTGTCCCCTTGTGATGTCTGTTACTTACTTTCAAAGAGTTCCGCACAGAGAAAATGCATAAAGAGAGGAAAAGAGATGGAGCAACTATACAAAAATTTTAACTATTATTGAATCCAGGTGCAAGTCATTCCGATTTCTTCCAATTAGTCCTCCCATTCTTCTCTGTTTTAAATGTTTTCATAAGCAAAATGGCAGAATAGTTACCAGCTAAATTGTTTTCGAACAATAAGAAAATAATGCACATTTTGCTGATAAATGTAAGATTTATTTGTGTCAACCCAAGGCCCCCTTCCCCTGGGTGGTGAGAAAGTGTCCTCTTGCTGGAGCTTGCTACACTGAGTGTCCTGGCAGATAGGCCCCTCAGAAGACAGCCCGGCTAAGAAAGCCTCTGGGCTGGGCCCTGGGACTGTCCCTGAGCCGGGAGCTGTTTGTATACCAGCCAACCTCTGAATGGCATAGACTCAGCTCAGAGCAGACTCAGCCTGGTCTGGGGGCTCAAGGCAGCTCCGCCTTCGGCCTGCAGCACCTGGCCCCCTGGAAGCCAGGCCTACACAAGAAGCATCTCCAGGAAGAGGACAAGGCCTCACAGCTGCCACTCTCTATCCCACTGTACCCGCCAGGGTCCAGACCCGACTCTCCCACCCTCAATGGTCTGCCAGACAAGGGAGGAGTTCTCTTCTGGGTATTTACATCAGCCCAGGAAGCCGGGAGGAAAAGACCTCTTCACAATGAGACAAGCCCCTTCTAACAACAGAAAGTGGGTGTGGAGGGGACTTCTACTGTCCAGGAAATGAAGAACAATATGAATGACATATAAAGTAATTTATTTTGAGCTGACCCATAAACACCCAGATTCTGCCAATGCTTCTTTTGATAAAGAAGGGCCAGGCATCAAAAGGAAGCAGCGTGCAGATAACACTGGGGACAACTCCCAGCCACACAGTCTTCACTGGGTGATCTCAGACAATCATATAACTTCCTTTTGCCTCCGTGTGCTCATCCATGTGATGGGAATAATAGTGTCTCCCAACAGGGTTGTTGTCATGATTCCACACTTCTTCAAGGGTCCCCAAGTTAGAGAATGGACTGTAGACCACAGTTCAATGAACTGCACCTCTGTTGGAAACCACAGGCCAACGGCATCCTATGACGATCCCAGCCCTTGTCCAGTGGAACAATTCTGTATCCCCTCTGAGAGTGAGGCTGTTCCCTGCAGCCTCACTCCTGGAACTCGTGGGTGTGTTTGTTGAGAGAGCTCTTTGGGGTTCCTAGGAAGAGACACATCCAGGTGACCTAGAGAGAGCTCTGTGCAGTGTCACATGGAGCCCCCTGGAGCCCATGGAGCCCCTTGAAGCCCAAGACATAATGACCCCAGGGTGCACAGTATGGTCAATGTCATGCAGAACCAGGCCTGGACTAACACCATTGCAGAATCATCTGCTGCTCAGAAAGCCCTAGTCAAGGCAGGCAAGTTCAAGCTAAAATTCCCTGCAGTGGGAAAGGACACACACACACACACACACACACACACACACACACACAGAGAGAGAGAGAGAGAGAGAGAGAGAGAGAGAGAGAGAGAAAACCACAGTTAGCGGAACCTTAAGAAACATAATACGTGCTCATATCCATAAGGTATTTTACTGTCTTTCGAGCCCCTGCATGGCCATGGTCTTATCTGAGTCTCACACCAGTCCTGTGGGGCCTCCCCACTTTACTGCTGAGAAATGGGTCTAGCTCCAGCTCCCCACTGTCACCAGGAAGCACAAATGACTTCCGAATCTCCCCAAACATGCTTTTCATCAGGGGACTTTTAATCAGTTCAGAAATGTCCTCCCCCTGCCACTCGCTGTGGCTGCTGTGATCTTAGACCCTGCAGAGGCTCCCAGCTCTCTTCTGCAGGTATCTTGTGCCTCCACCTGCAGCCTGGAGGCTCCAGGGGTGGCCTGAGAGATGCTGGAGCTCTGAGGTCTATTTTGCAGAGGTCGGCAAACTACCCCCCACAGGCCAAATGCCCCACCACTGATTCCTGTACAGCATACAAGCTAAGAATGAGTTTTCCTTTTTTCTTTAAGTTGAAAAAAAAGTCAGGCCGGGCACAGTGGCTCACACCTGTAATCCCAGCACTTTGGGAGGCTGAGGCAGGAGGATCACGAGGTCAGGAGATGGAGATAATCATGGCGAAACCCGTCTCTACTAAAAATACAAAAAAATTCGCTGGGCGTGATAGCATGTGCCTGTAGTCCCAGCTCCTCGGGAGGCTGAGGCAGGAGACTCGCTTTAACCCAGGAGGCGGAGGTTGCAGTGAGCTGAGATCACACCACTGCACTCCAGCCTGGGTGACAGAGTGAGACTCCGTCTCAAAAAAAAAAAAATCAAAAAAAGAATGGTATTTTGTGGCCCAAGACAATTATATTGAATCCAAATTTTGATGTCCGTAAATAAACTGTTCTTGGCACCCAGCCACACCTGTTTGCTCACATGATGTCTACAGTTGCTTCCACACTACCACTACCACAGCAGGGCTGAATCACCGAGACAGCAACCATATGGCCTGCACTGCCAAAATTGCTATCTGTCCCTTTTCGGAAAAGCTTGGCAGACCTCAGCCTTAGTGCCCCTGTCCTTCACCCCTCTTTGTATCGCCTGGAGGAGAGCACATTTTCTACCCACTCAAGGCTAGGTTTGTCTTGCTTTGGCCAAAGGTGCATCAGCAGACATGAATGTGAGCAGAAGCCTTAAATATGCATGTCTGGCTGACTCTGCCCTTATGCATGAGAAGAACATGCCTCCGAAGCCACTGCTCTAAGGAAGATCAAAGACAGAAAGCTGGGGGTGCGGCCCCCAGCTCAAGTGTTGGGGTCCAGCCCCACCGAGCCCAGTCTCGGCCCCTGAATGCCTGCTGACCGGGCAAATGTGAGAGAAGAATAAACGAGATTGTTGTAGGCCACCGAGTCTCATGGTGGTTTGTTAAACAGCATTATTGTGGCAATAGCTTGCTGAGGCCATGTCCAACAAGGGTGACTCACAAACGTTTGCAACATTTGTTAGTTTTCAAGACTTTTGCATCCATTTTATCAAGAGATCCCTGCTTTATGAATAACGAGACCACAAGAGACAGCAGCAATAATGGCAGGCTCCCACCCAGGGCCCTGGCCCTGCAGCTCCCTTTGTCTGGAATGTTCTTCCCTAAGTATCCACAGAGCACTCTTCGGCTCTGGCGTCTCTGCTCAGCGAGGCCCTGCCCCACCACCTACTCCCCCGGGAAGCCCCCTCCCCCTGGGCACTCCCGACTCCCATTCCCTGCTTTATCACCTTTTCCCATGATGTGTCGTGTTCTTTTTATTTCATTTCTTCTCTCTCTTCCCCTCTAGACTGTGAACTCTATGGACCAGGCATTCGTGTGTTCCGTTCACTGCTAAGCTGTTTCCCATCCTATGTCTCCTGTCCTTCCCAGCACACTCAGTGCACTCAGCCCTGCCTGGCCTGTCCAGCCCCACCTGTGACCTCTCAGCCCTCCTGGCCCCACCCCAGCCCTGCTCCCTGTGTTTGCCACACTGGTCTCCTCGCTGTTCCTCAACAGGCATGGCAGGCCCAGGCCTTTGCATCGGCTATTCCCTTGGCCTGAAATGCCTGAAACACCTTTCCCCTAGATTGCCCCAAGGCTCGACTCCTCACCTTCCTACCTTCCTCAGCACCTTATTTTAGACTGCAGCTCTTCCTGCCCCCACCCCATGGTGCCTGTCCCTCCCCAGCTCCATTTTTCTCCTTAGCTCTTGGTGCCTTCTCGCACACCCTGCATCCACCTGCGTCTGCCTCGGCCCTGGCATGCCAGCTCCTGAGGGCAGGGATTGTGTCTGCCTTATTCATTGCTGTGCCCCCAGACCTTGAACAATGCCTGACACACAGTAGTTGCTCAGTAAAAACTCACTGAGTCAAGAGGAGGGAGGAGGAAGAGGGGCCCAGGAAAAGGTGCATGGATTGCTGGGAACCTGCGTGAAGAAGGTAAACATTCAGGAGCTGGGATTTAGGAAACTGCACCCCAGAGGCTCAGGCTCTTCTGGGTCCCTAACAGGCCTACGCTTCAGGGCTCGGCTTTAGCACTCCACTGGGCCTTATCTCTCCACACGGAAACATCCTGAGGCCTCCACTGACTAAGCTCAGCTGCAGGGGCTTTTGTTCCACCAGAGCAGAAATGAGAAAGCTCTGTGGGTTTTGCACGCCAGTGACAGACTCCAGCACGTCAGGCCTGCGGTGTGAGTGCGCTGGGGGAGGGAGGAGGCCAGGCATTGTGGGGAAGTCAGGAACCGAGGTTGCTGGGGGGACCTTGCCACAGCCCACAGCCCGCAGCCCGCAAGGTGTGGTCCCTGCGACCCCCAAACCGCTCCCTATCAGAAACTCTCATGGAGATGAAAGGTGGAGTGGCAGGAGGGGCAGGCACCCGACTTTCCCTCTGAGCCTCCATTTCCTCATCTGTAACACAGGACAATGAGGAGCCGGGAGGACTCCGTGGGAGTGAAACCCAGCTAACACCCGGTGCCACTGCCCTGCATGGCACTGAATGCTTTCTGTACATCACTCGCCCAGGGCCCAGCAACCCTGTGAGGGAAGTAGTGTTAGTGCCCTCCACAGACGAGGAAGCTGAGGCACAGAGAGATCAAGTGACCTGCCCAAAGCCCCACAGTTAGGATGCAGAGCTGGTCCAGGGTCCTGTCTTCTCCAGTCTGCTGTGCACCACCCCTGCTATGTAAGTCGAGCCCCTAGAACACAGGGATGAAAGCAAGAGAAGGAGTATGGCCCAGTCACAGAGAGGATGCCAGGGGGACTTACGCCCCTGCTAAGTACCAGCTCTGGCTTGTGCCTGGCTCAGCCAAGCTCTGACGCTATTCTGAGCACAGCCCTGGACTTCCGGACACCTGAGAAAACAAAGCAGGCACAGAGTCCCACTTCGCCCATCTGAGAGTCTTGTGGGTCAGTTCTTCAGCCCCCTGAGCCCTGGTGGCAGAGATTAGCTAATTGTTCAGCAACTCACTGCCCTTTCCTCTGGGGCCAGGAGGAATGCCTGGGCATCATTCCCAGCCCTCCTTGCCCTGGGGTGTGGCCATGTGGCTGAGTTCTGTCCAGCCAATGATTGTGGTGAAAATGATGCTCACACACTCGGATCTGGATCATGAAGGCTCTCGTGTGATCCTCCACATATTTTCTTCCCATATCTGCCAGTCAGATGTTAACACCTAGAGTGACTTACAAGCCCCATGTTGACGGTGGTAAAACCTCCATCATCCTGGGTCTCTGAATGACTGCATGGAGCCCCTATCTTAGTCACAGTGAAACTTTACATGAGTGAGAAATAGCATCATCTATTGTGTGACGCCACTGAGATTTGGGGTTGTCTTTTTTCTGCAGCCACTAGGGCTGCTCTATCACACCCACCTTCCTTATCTTTAACATAGGGATAATAATTTGGATCTTCAAGTTGTTAGGTGGGTTAAATTAAATGTGATAAAGTGTCCGGATGCAGGGAATACTCAGCGAACATTGATTTAGTGTTTGCTGAATGTTTGGGTGAGCCCATGGGTGTTTGGCTAGTGTATTAGGTAGGATTGCTTTTGGCTATAAATGACAAGATGCTGGGTGAACAGTTGTTTAAACCACAAGGATGTGTGTGGCTTACTCAGCAGGCCCTCTGGAAGTAGGCAGTCTGGAGTTCCTTCCTTGGCCCAGTGATGACAGGTCCTTCCCTCCAATGCCCTTGGCCACTGTCAGCACGCCAGCCTCTTACTCCTGCACTTGGCCCTCTGTGGTCCTTGAAGCTGCAGGCACAAAGAAGGGAAGCACCAGAGGGAAATGCTTTCTCCTTGAGAGGCTCCATCTCTTTCTCCATCTGAAAGCAAACTTTTCCCCAAAGCCCCCAGGTGAGACGGCCTTTCCTCGTATAAGCCAGCAGCAGGTCCCTTGTCCATTTCCCTGCAAGGGAACATGAATTGGCTCCTGGTGGGCAACTGAAGCATCTGCCAGAGTTGGGAAAGAACATGGAAGGTGGTCAGGGCCCAGAGAGTAGCTGCAGACATCAGAGATAAAAAACTGAGCAACTCTGACCAGGAAGGGGCAGCAGCTACTGAAATAAGGGAGCCCTGGGCCCAGGAAAGACTGCAGCCGATGGAGGGGTGGGGACCAGGCAAGAGGCCAAGTTCACATGCATGGCCAGGGCAGGGCACCCACAGCAGTGGCGGAGCTGCAGGAGGGGAAGTCAGTGACCACGAAGGCCCTAGTTCACCCATCAAGCGTGGTGCAGGGTTTTCTTTGTGCATCGGTCTGAATTATTTCCATTGCAAACAACAGATTCCCACTCAAACTGGTCTGAGCCTTAAAGATGATGAGTGGTCTCAAAAACTGAAAATCTGCAGCAGATCTGACGGAGCTGGACCCTGGGCTTGGGATGTCCTCAGGGCTCAGCCTCTCTGTGTGTCTGCTCTGATTTCCTCTAAGCTGGCACCACCTCATAAAAACCTTTCCCCTGGGGAGGTGGCGAAGACAACTTCCAGCAGCTCCAAGCTCCCTTCCTTAGCTTCCTGACCCCATGGGAAAAGAGGACTCTTCCCGGTGGTTTCAGCAAAAATCCTGGGGTTTACTCTGATTGGCCAATGTGGTCACGTGTGCAGCTCTGAGGTGTGGGCGGCATCAGTGTCTAGCTGGAAAATAATCATTTAATCACAGGCTTCAGGAGCCAGGACCCTGTGCCCGTCCTGCCCATTCCAGGCCCCAGGGACCTCAGAGCCTCCACTGAGGCACCTCAGAGAGATGAGTGTGCAGGGGACATTAAGGCCTCTCCTGAGCCAGGACTGGCTGCAGCTCACAGGCCAGTGGACTGAGGGGGAGGGAAGCCATGGCGAAGGGCTGGCTCCTGCCACAGGCAATAGCATCAGTGCGGAGACGAGGCCGGGCACAGTGGGGGCTACACCAGCAGTTCCAGTCTGCAGACCCCACATGGAACGATAAAAAACTGAACCTCTCAGTATCCTGTCTCCAGACCTGCCTGGGAGCCCCTTGTGCAATGGATGACCACAGCCACCAGCCTTACCTTGATCGCTTCCAAAGGAGGGAGGCTCACTACCTCTTCTCTGCATTACCATAACTACTGATTTAGATGGTATCTCAAGCAATGTGGAGACACTCAACCGCTGACCTTCCCCCAACATCAGCACCTCTGAGACGTCCCCATTTCATTGTATACTAGCTCCATTCTTCCAGCCGCTGAGATCAGTCTCTCTCTCTCTCTCTCCCTTTCTCTCTCACAAACACACACACACACACCCCTAACCCATACACAAATCTTGTTGGCTCCACTTCCAGATCTGTGCAGACTCCATCCAGAATTCTCCCCACCCTCCTGCTGCAACCCTGACTGCAGCCACTGCTCCTCTGGCCTGGACAATTGCAGCAGCCACCCCTCTGGTCTCCCTGCCACCATTCCTGACCTTCCTACCAACAGCCAGAGCGAGTCTTCTACGTGCCTGTCAGACGGTGTCTCTGCTCAGCCCCCATCATGTCTCCCCATCTCACACGTAATTCAATGGCCAAGAGGATCCTATGCGACCTGAACCAAACCCCTCCACTGACCTCCTCCACACAGATTTCTGTGGTATTTCTCGAACGTGCCACAAACACTCTTTCCCCCAGGACCCTTGCACCTTCTGCCTGACTGCTCTGCCACACCACTCCTTCACCTCTGCGTAGCTGGCTCCTTTTTGGCACCCAGCCCCCCCACCCTCCCCTCACACCTCCCCTCCCTTGCCACCAGAGAGCACACAGGATTGACTTCCACAATCACAGGGACTTCAAGGAAGGGAATGAAAGGGGGCAATGGAAAGACTGAGCATGTACCCCAATATAGTCAGACATACACACACACATACACATGAGTACAAACACACACACACGAGTACATACACAGGAGTACACACACACAAGTACACAAACAAACACACATGAGTACACACACACAAGTATACACACATGAGTATAAACACACAAGTACACACTCACACAAACACACATGAGTACACACACACACATAAGTATACACACACACACAGCAGAGTAGGCACATGTGCGGAAATCGGATCTGTTCTGGAGAAAGAAGGTTTGTGCATCTGAGCTGTAATGCCAGTAAGTCTGTGATTTTGCTTCAAATGCTTCCATTTCCCTGGCCACAGTGATTGGTCTGCCCCAAACTGGCCACTCAGAGCCAATCTCCAAGATGTTTGAGTTTACAAACAGAAAATGTAAACCAGGGAGCTGCAGGTGCCACCATTCCAGGGCCACAGAAGAAGCTAGCCTGAGAGAATGTAGCCAACGTGCAGAGACACGTGGGAATCCAACGGGAAGAGTAAGGAAGCATCCCGCCCCAGGTATCTTTTGGCAGCTGACCCCTGGTCTTCCTGGTTGGGCTGAACGCACCCACACATTCTCCTCATTGCCTGATCAGTCCGTTGTAGGTTTCTGGCTCTTGGAACACAATGATTTTGACCAATCAGGCCCCGGACACACTGTGTGCTGGAGATTGTACTCAGCCCCGGGCCTCAGAGGAGAGAGGATTCAGACAAAGCTAAAGGAGCAGGAGAGCTGGGTCCCAATGGACAGGGAGAAGTCCCCATGTAGACAGGAGTGGGAGGTGCATCCTGGTCAGAGGGCATGGCACTCAGGGCACAAGTGAGTCCCCCAAGAGCTGGAAAACAAGAGCCCAGGCAGAGAGGAGATGAATAACTGATCCAAATGGGAAAGACACCATTCTGAGGACCCTGTGATGGGGTGCTGTGGGGGATGACCCTCAAAAGAGAAAGGGGCAGAGGAAAAGGAAGGAATGCAGCAGCCAGACCTGCCCAAGGCCTGACTCAGCCCTTGATTTGCCACCAAGCCCTGGGCAGGCTGCTTCAGCCATCTGAGGCTCAGTGTTCCCGTCTGTGAAATGGTGTATTTAAGAAATCAAATGAGGTTAGGGATAAGAAAAGTGCTTGGCAAATGCTGTTCACCTGCTCAAGTGAGGGCACGGGGGTGTTGCAAGCAAGGCAATTGTGCAGGAGACCCAAGGCATGCTGCCTCCCTGCTCTGGCCTCAAGAGTCCTCAACTGCCCGCTCTGCTGTTGTCAGCAATTATGTGTCACATGCACTGTGCCAGAGATATCAGACAAGGTCCCTGTCCTCAGAGGGCTTACACTCCAGGTGATAAGTAAGTAGAAGTAGACACAAATAAAGAACTAGGGTGATTCAGGCCGTGGTAAGTGCCAAGTGAAAAATAAATCTGGGCAAGGGCTCCAGAGTGACAGGGAGGAGAGCCCCATCCGGGTGGTCAGGGAAGGCCTTTCGGACATGGTGGCCTTTGAGCTGAGACCTGAATGGTGCAAGAGAGTGACTGGGTATGGGAAACTGAGGCCTACAGCCGCCAGTCCCCTAGCTGACAACTGAGCCCCTGGGGCATCCTGGGGCCTGGGCTGCACACTGAAGACAGGGAAATGACGAATCCCCAATCCCACAGGAACACACTGGTGAGTGGACATTAGATAAGCCCATTATTGAAAGTCACAGTCACAGAGTGTTGCTGTCATAGACAAAGGGGCAGCAAGAGGCCCCACAGGCCAGTGGAAGCCCAGGGCAGGAGGAACCTCACCCGGTCTAGTAGGGAGGGCTTCCTGGAGTAGGTGAGGAAGTATGCTCCGGAGGACAGAGGAAACGGCAGGAGCAAGAATTAGGAGATGACAACTGGAATAGCAAAATCCCTGGGTTTTTGAACTCCACAGGGACAGCCACATTCATCCCGGCTGTGGACTGAACTGTGTCCCCTTCAGATGTCATATGTTGAAGCCCTTGCCTCCACTGTGACTGCATTTGGAGACTGGGCCTATCAGGAGGTAATGAAGGTGAAATGAGAGCATGGGGTGGGCCCCTGATCCCATAAGATTCCTGTTCTCATAAGAAGAGGCACCATGGTGGTATGCACCTGTGGTCCCAGCTACTCAGGAAGCTGAGGTGGGAGGATCCCTTGAGCCCAGGAGCTCAAGGTTGCAGTGAGCTATGATGGTGCCACTGCACTCCAGCCTAGGCAACAGAGCAAGAGCTTGTCTCTAAACCAAAAAAGAATTAGAAGAAGAAACACCAGAAAACTCACTCTCTTGCTCTCCAAACATGCACAGATAAGAGATCACATGGAGACACAGCAAGAAGGCAGCTGTCTGCAGCCAGGAAGAGAGCCCTCAGCAGAACCTGCGCCTGCCAGCACCATGGTCTTGGACTCCCAGTCTCCAGAACTATGAGAAAGTAAGTGTCTGTTGTTGAAGCCACCCAGTCTATGGCAGCCTGAGCAGACTGACATCCTCACACCACCACCTAGAAAGAGCAGCTATTTGTATCCCCAGTTTACAGATGGGGAAACCAAGGCCCAGAGATAATACATGACTTGCCTGTGATCCCACAGCTGTAAGTCAGAGTTAAGACTGGAGCCCAGGCCATCTCCCTCCACCACCCACACCTGACATCCGCACACTGCGCTTCCTGCATGGTGGACAGTGCCTGCCTGCTCACAACTGGGACCACTGCCTCCTCTGCTTCTCTGTAGCCCTGGCCCTAGCTCGTGGAAGGAGCAACAGGGCCATATTTGAGTTTCAGAGCACTGCTCAGGGGGGCAGAAGGCAGGGTCAGATTCTTCTGGAAGAGGTCGGAGGTTTCCCAGCCAGAACAAAACTGGGATGAGAAGCTGGGGTTCCTCCCACCCCTCTCCAGGACCTGTGAATGTCCCTCCCCTGTGGAGCTGGAAAGCCAGCCCGAAGGCACCTGCCCCGTGGGAGGACACACCCCTGAGCCTGGATGCCTCATCTCCTGCAGCTTTGGAATTCTAGCCCCTACCCCCACCATGCCCACCCCCCCTTGCCTTCCTCTCATGGGCCCCCATCTTTCCCCAGCCCATCCAGCTCCTGACAGCCAGCCCTAAAACCTCCTTAACTGAGAGTCTATGCCTGCTGGGGTGTTTGGTTAGAAGGCATTTAAGCAAATCAGAGGGGATCCTCAAGGGAGCCTCAGCCCCTCCCCAGGGCCCCTCCTAGGCCTACTCAGCAAAAGGGCATTAAAACCACGCTTTAAAAACTTAGCTGGTGCAGTGGCACACACCTGTGGTCCCAGCTACTCAGGAGGCTGAGGCAGGATGATGGCTTGAGCCCAGGAGGTCAAGGCTACAGTGAGCTAGGATTGCACCATTGCACTCCAGCCTGGGCAACAGAGCAACACCCTGTCTCTAAAAAGAAAAAGAAAAAATTTAATCGTAAAACTAAAACAACTCTGATGTCCACTGACAGATACATGGATAAACAAAATGTGATGAGCCTGTGTGTGTGTGCGTGTGTGTGTGTCTACACACACATATATACAGTAGAATATGATTCAGCCTTAATAAGGAAGGAAATTTTGACCTATGCTGCAACATGGATGAATACCACAGACACTAGTCTAGATGAAACTAGCCAGTCACAGAAGGACACATACTGTCCTTCCAGCACATGAGGTCCCTAGAGCAGTCACAATCCTAGAGACAGAGTAGAATGGGAGTCGCCAGGGGCTGGGGGTGGGGTATGGGGAGTTAGTGTTTGATGGGGACAGAGGTTCAGTTTGGGAAGATGAAAGAATTCTGGCTGAGTGCAGTGGCTCAGACCTGTAATCCCAACACTTTGGGAGGCTGAGGCGGGTGGATCACTTTTTGGTCAGGAGTTCGAGACCAGTCTGGCCAACTTGGCAAAAACCCATCTCTACTAAAAATACAAAAAATTAGCCAGGCGTGGTGGCAGGTGCCTGTAATCCTAGCTACTTGGAAGGCTGAGGCAGGAGAATTGCTTGAACCCAAGAGGCAGAGGTTGCAGTGAGCCAAGATTGCGCCACTGCACTCCAGCCTGCGTGACAGAACAAGACTCTGTCTCAAAGAAAAAAAGTTCTGTGGATGGATGGTGGTGATGGTAGTACAACAATGGGAATATACTTAATGCTACTGAACTGTACATGTAAAACTGGTTAAGAACGCCAATTTTATGTTATGTATTTTTTTACCACAATAAAAAATGCAAAAGCAAAACGCAGCACTGACTCCGGGCAAGGGTGGGAGGGAAGGAACTGGGCTTATCAGAGCATTAGGGATAGTTGGGTCTGGGTGGGTGGTCCTAGGCCCCAACTAGTGAGGGGATCCCACTTCCCTGCTGAATGAAAAGGGTGAAGACTTGAGAGCGCTGTGAGCTGCAAGGAGACTGAGTTCTAGAAGGGAGAGGAGTCCGTGCACACAGACCCCAGTGGGACCTGGGCCTGTCACTTCCCCTCTGAGCCTGGTCAAACAGGGGAGCCAACATTTACTAGGCAGCCTCCAAGGGCCAGACAGAGCACTCTGTGCTGTGATGCTCGGCGAATCTCATCCCCACAGGAACCTGAGAGGTGGGACCTGTTACAATCCCCACTTCACAGAAGAGGAAGCCAAGGATCTGAGAGGTGAAATGACCTGCTCAGTTTACACAGCAGAAATGTGAGAACGCTGAGAGTTGATCTGGAATCCATACTGTTCACTGTTCTGCTCTGCCTTGCAGGCTGGAAGCTTCCAGCAGTGGAAGGGGCTGAAGACTGGTTCCAGGGCACAAACTGGCATGTAGCCTTCATGTCCCCTCAGAGATCTGGCCCACAGAGACACATGACTAGCTGAGCATCACTTGCTGCCACAGGGGAGTGGGCAGGGGACCTAGCCCATGCAGCAACCTTGTGGTGGAACTGCCCTGGGAGTGGCCCACGCTACCTGGGTGGCCCCAACTTTTCCTTCTGTGCTTCTTGGCCTGCCTCCCTGGCCACAGTTGATTGACCTATGGCCAACTGACCCATGTTGGACCAATCAGAGTCCTTCCAAGGGTTTTTGCACTGTAGCTGGGGGAGCCATTCAACCATCTTTAATAGTGGGAGTCAGGAACAATGGGAGACAGTAGAACCTGCATGAGGAGGCACTGAAGCTGGTGTTCAGGAGAGGCAAACACAAAAAGAGCTAGTATTATTGGGGTTTGATTGTAGATAAATTGAAACCCCAAATTACATGGCTTGAACAAGATGGAATTAATTCTTCTCTGAGTAGATGGTCCCAGGCTGGTATGACATCAGAACTGTGTTAGTCCATTTTGCATTGCTACAAAGGAATGCCTGAGATTGGGTAATTTATAAAGAAAAGAGGTTTATTTGGCTCACAGTTCTGCAGGCTATACAAGCATGGCACCAGCATCTGCTCAGTTTCTGGTAAGGCCTCAGGGAACTTAGAATCCTGGCAGAGGTGACATGGAGCAGTGTTGTCACATGGCAAGAGAGGGAACAAAAGAGATGCCAAGATCTTTTAAACAACCAGCTCTCACATGAACTAGCAGAGTGAGAACTCACCACCAAGGAGATGGCACTAAGCCATTCATGGGGGATCCGCCCCCATTACCCAACACCTCTCTCTAAGCCCCACCTCCAACATTAAGGATCATATTTCAACATGAGATTTGGAGGGACACACATCCAAAC